>NT_187520.1:0-185285 GCF_000001405.40 Homo sapiens
CTGAACTCTCAATCACATTTAGCGAGACGCTTTTCTAAAGGAATCCTCTAAAGCTAAACATACATTAAATTAAGTAGAATGCATTATGATTTGCTGTGTTTTTTTTTTTTTTATTTTTTTTGAGACGGAGGTTTTTTTTTTTTTTTTTTTTTTTTTGGCTCTGTTGCCCAGGCTGAAGTGCAGTGGCTCGATCTCGTCTCACTGCGACCTCCGCCTCCCATCCGCCTGCCTCAGCCTCCCAAAGTGCTAGGATTACAGGCGTGAGCCACCGCGTCCAGCCTGCAGTGGTTTTCTTACTACTTTTTACAATCAAATTGATTAAGGCATTGGTTGAATATGGTACACTGCATCCATTTCAAGTTTGATGACATGTCTACTACTCCAGAAGGTCCTCTTGTGCCCTTTGCAGTCAGTCCCCTCGACTCCCTGACCCCAGCAATTAATGATGTATTTTCTGCCACTATACAGGTTAGTTTCACATGTTCTAGAAATTCATCTTGATGGCACCACATAGAATGCACTCTTTTCATCACTCAGCATGAGGTTTTTGAGATTGGCCCATGCTATCTCATGTTTCCATAATTTGTCCCATCTTATTGAGGGTAGTACTCCGTTGGATGAATATATCACAATAGGTCCATTCACCTCTTGATGCATATGAACCTTTTCCAGTTTGGGGACTATTGTAAACAAAGCTGCTAAGAACAAGTTCTTTTTGTGAATATATGTTTTGTAAATTCCACTTGTCATTCTTTATTATTAACTGATTTTGTAAAATGATGTCACCTTCACAAGTGCAAAATTCATTCAAATGTTACAGAGGCCTGAAGCATAAGTCTACACAATTTCCTTTGTTATATTTCATAATTAAGGGGAAAAAACTTTATCTGGGATGTTGTTTCCTATCAGCAAATCCTTAATGTAAGCCATACAGGATGCTAGCTGTACTATTAGACTATCTTCTGTAATCTGTGCAATAACTCTAAGAAGTACTTCGTATTATTATTTTCCTGTAACACTTTCCAACTTGAAGCCTAGCAAATTGAAGGACCTGGTCCCAGGTCAAACAGAAGGCAAGCGGCAGCGCCAGGACTGGAAGAAGGCCTTCCCAAAGGCAGACAGAAGCTCACGTCTTTGTCAGAACCTCAGTATTTCTGATGCGCCTGGAAGCCAATATCCAAGCCGTTCTCAGCCACTGGATTGGTGGGCTGCTTTGCTCAGAAGCTCCTCGATCAGGAATCCCAAGCATACGTTAGTGATGACGGTCCCAAAACAAGGGACATTTCTTAACCATTCTAAAAACCCGTTTGCTCATCAGTAACGCAATAAGAGTTGCTTTCGGTCTTGGTTCATATATTTTATATTTGAGCAAGGCAATGTCCGCTGCTGGGGTTAGAAGTAAATGGCTCGTCTTCAGCAAACTAGATCAGTCCGTGGGACGTACGGCTTCCACTCGCAGTGTCCTGAACACTGGCTGGGCTTCCTGTGCGTTCTAGCCGGTTTTCTTTGGAGCCGCGGGTTTCTGCACGGCTCCGGGGTCGGGATGGCAGAGGCTTCTCGGAACACGCGGATCTATGAGTGCAGTCCCCGGGGTAGCCACCAGGGAACGCCATAGGCTTTCCCGCTGTGTTCCTCCTTGCCTTTTCCGTTTGGGCCAAGTAGTTTCTATTGACCATGACATTACAGATCAGAAGTGGGTGGGGTCAGAAAACACACCCTGGGAGAAGCTGGCAAAATGCCCAGAACCGCCATCACTAGGCCTGGGGTTTTCTTCTGTAGTGGAATTCTCGTGCTTATGTAGTACAGGGAGGAGCGCAGCGCATTTCCGCCAAGACAGGTGAGTCTGCAGTTCTGACCTGCGGGTCTCGATGAATTGCGTTAGGGCCCCTGGGCGCCGGCAGAGCCGATCTCCTACACAAAGCAAGCGTGTTATGTCTACAACCGAACGGGGACACTAAGAAAGAGCCCCAAAGGCCCTGCTTTCATCCCAAAGAACAGCGCCTGTCTGCGTAGTTTCTACCTTGCTCTATAAGGTGAGAACACCTTCACCGCTGGCACAGAAATCCTACAAACTCCTGTGGGGACCGCGGTTACAAGCAGACGCTGTGTGAAAGGTGACTCTGGGGGCTAGGGAAAAACACGAAGATTTTCACAGAGCGTGAGACCCCAAGAGACTGGAGACCATGGACCAAATTTCTGCGAACAGTAGCCTTATGTAGAAAGAGCTATGCAATCTTCGTGCTAGTTAGCTTGTGATACACATGCTCACAAAGGCTGGCGCTTCCTTCTCCAGTGAAAAGCAAGGCGATATATCACTTCCCGATTCAAAGCATCCAACTGTAAGAATAACAGTGTAGGGAGAAAGGTCTATAGTCATGGCAATATTGCCTAATGATATTTTTTTCTGTGATGGTCATTTTATAATATTATTTAAAAGTTTTTTTTAATTAAACAAGCGATGGAACTTTGAACAGAAAAATATGAAATTAAAACAATAAAAATTACCCATAATCACACTAGACTGTGATAACTAAACTGTGAATATTTTGGTTTCATAAGCTTTTAATCTTTTTCCTTAGGTATATAAAAATATTTAAGAACCAAAGAAAATTATATCACAATGGGTATATCAACTTAGTATCAGTTTTACTCATTTAATATGCCAAAGGTAACCTACTTATCCTTTGACTACAAGAGCTTTCTAAATGTCTGTATAATATTACATCAGATGAATGCAATATAATTTATTTTAAATATTTCTTATTGCATATTTAGATTGTTTCTAATTTTTGAGTATGATCAACAACTCTTTGGCCAGTATTCCTATAGCTAAGTGCTTATGTTGTAGGTCTGATTATTTCCTTAGTACAAATTTCTAACAGTGGAGTGTCAGTCAAAGGGTATGTACAATGTAAACATGTAGATGTGTATTGTCAAATTATCCCCCACCAAGTTCCTAAAATATGCATCTTTACTGTCATGGTGTAACTACCAAAGTCCTGTACCCTTGAAAACATAGATTCTTATTTCAGAACATCTTTATCAGTTTAAAAGATAAACTATGCCATCCTCTTGTTGTTAGTAAAGTGCATTTCTTTGATTACTCCCCTTTCACAGAAGAGTAAATGAAGATTCAGTAAGTTTGTGTGAGTTATGCATGGGTGCATAGGTAACGCGTGCAGAAAGCAATCACTTCAGTTTTCCATATTTGAGGTCCTCTCTGGGCCAGTACAGTTCGAGACACTAGAAATTCAAAACCACAGATAATGCCCTCCTGGGCCTGTAGGATGTACTTGTTAGGTGGCAGGGGCGAGGCCCAACCAGTGCCCACAACAATGTCATAGCCCCAGGTGAGTGTGGGAGGGGAAGTTGTAGAAATATTTTCCAGCCAAAGAAATCAGTGAAGTAAAGATAGGCAGGAGGCAGGCAAAAAGGAGGCAGGACTGGCAGGTTGTGGGGGCAGGAGTGGCCACGGATGAGGAGCCAGGCTTGGCAACACCGGTGCAGGTGGCACGTGTCATAGGCACAGGCGTGGAGATCTGAGGGCGTAGAGGGGAGAAGACCGTGCACCGCCAATGTCAACTGTGTGGAAGCAAACCTGGGCTACATCTAAGAGTCCTGAGAGCAGGGCAGGAGAAGGGAGGAAGAGACAACAGAAGTCCTGGGTGGGAAGCAGAAATATTTCCTGAGTCAATGAAAGAGCCCCAAGCCTCCAGACCTGCCAGGGCTCAAGCAGGCAGCTCCAGATGCCAAGACCTATAATCCAGCAGTTCAGGTTGATTTTGCCAGAGTAGTGTGAAGAGGCCCTGATTTTCCCCTTTAATGTATACCCATACAAAAGGCAGAAGAGTTGTTTGAAAAGCAGGAGATTCACAGTTACAAGCACATAGGAAGCACAAGAAAAACTGGTAGAAGGGATCTGGGCCCTTCAATGTTGACAGCCTTCTCTAGGAGCCCTGGCTACAACAGAATGAGAAGGATCCTTGGGGGGTATAAAAAGGTGGGAAGGAGAACAAGCCAAACAAAACACCACCCTCAGGACTACAGAGAAGTTATTTCAGGCGATGCATTGATTCCATGTTTTTGTTTCCATAGGTTGCTGTTTTGTAACTTTTTTTTTCTTAGGTGAAGGAATTAAGTGTCCTCCCCCACTGTCTGAAGAAAGATATGCCTGTCATGAAGCGTGCCCTTACTTACTTTGAAGGGGACAAGCCTTTTCTAGCTTCAATATTTATTTCCTATTTTGATGGGGAAACCTTTAGGGAAGTAGAAAGAGAGCTTAAAGCCTTGGGGGAGACATTTTACGTGCTTGCTAAAAAAATGCATTAAAATATTTAGTACATGTCCTGAATGTAACCCAGCCCTCCAGAGCTATTTTTTTTCTCACTGTATTAGTCCATTTTCATACTGTAATAAAGAACTGCCTGAGACTGGGTAATTTATAAAAGAAAGAGATTTAATTGACTCACAGTTCAGCACGGCTGGGGAGGCCTCAGGAAACTTACAATCATGGTGGAAGGTGAAGGGGAAGCAAGGCACCTTCTACACAAGGTGGCAGAAAGGAGAAGTGCTAAGCAAAGGGGAAGAAGCCCCTTATAAAACCATCCGATCTTGGGAGAACTCACTCACTATCATGAGAACAGCATGGGGGAAACCATCCCCATGATTCAATTACCTCCACCTGGTCTCTCCTTTGACAAATAGGGATTATGGGGATTATGGGGATTACAATTCAAGATGAGATCTGGGTGGGGACGTGAAGCCTAACCATATCAGGGGAGGGGGCTCACAACTGAATATTTCAGATAATTTTAATATGTGCTGGTATCCACAAACAAGAGCCAATGTGGACTCAGCAGGCAATGTCATGGGCCTTCTGTTTCAAAAATGATTCAGATAGACTTTTATGCTTTTACATGTGCCATATGGGAGTGGGGCATTCTCATCTTGTTCCTTGTTTTACCCTCAGCATCTACCTTTCATAGCAGTAACTGATGATCATGAAATGTTTGTTGATTGAATGGCTGAAGTATAGACAGATGCAGCTTCTGTCCATGAAAGGCATCCTGCTTGCTCCTTGCACTGTGTCCAGTGAAAACTCTTGTTTCTCTGCGCAGCTGCAACACTTTTCACATCACAAGGAGCACAAGGCACTGGCTTCCATTTCCACCCTGAAGCTCAGCAGCCCCATTTGCGTCCCATCAGCTGCCTGCTCCGGAATAGAGGAGGGAAGGGCTGGGCTTCAGAGTTTGCTTTTTTTTCTTGGTTCTGTGAATGGAAAAGGATCCTGTGAAGGGATCCAGATTGATACCTTGGGGTCTGGTGTACGTAGGTCTGTTTGTGTTAACTCACCATTTAAAGACAGAAAAAAGGAAAACATACATATTTATAGCCTCCTAGAGAGAGCCTTGGTGCTAGTTTTGATGGCTTGCTGGGAACACAAGTGAAGTCAAGGGGGGTATTGTGGTTGGGAGCATTGATTTTGGGAGGAAAGTGGTGCTGGTATCATTTAGGGAGGGACAACAAGATGCTCCTGTGGACCACCACTGATTCTCTCACGCTGATGACATCTGGCAGTAGTGATAATGTGATGGGAGCCCAAAGAGGGGAGGGTCTTGTAGAAATTTCACGTGGTTGCATCAGCTTCAGCTTTTGGTAACTGGTGGATAGCCAAGCAGCAGGAGTAGGGCAGAATACCATGAGTCCGTGAACCAGGCAGAGAGTTGAATGACATGAACTTGAGTCAGGGAGGAGAAAACTAGGGGCCGGGTACATCTTTGATTAGTGAGTAACCAACAATGTGGACCCCCAGAAGGCTTAAGGCCCTTCGCTGGAGAACTAGATGGTTATCCCTGGGTCCTGTTATTGAGGCTAGCTTCTCTCAAGTTTCAACGCTAGTCAGACCACCATATCTAAATCATGGAAAGTGTACCACTGGTTATGTTAAGAGGTGATGTTTGAATATTTAGATGGAGATAATCAAAGTATTACAAAAATGACAAAGGATTCAATGCAGTAAACAAGTTAATTTACACACCAGAGTCAAAATTTCACAAATATTATTGCATAGAGTGAAGATAATTTTTTAAAATTTAAATTAATTTAACAAAATAAACATAGTACTTAAATATGGCTTTTTTGGTATAGATTATTTTCTTATTCAAGATTTTTCCTTTCCTAGTTTATAAGTATTTTGTTGCTATTCTTTCACTCTCTGAAAATTGCAAAATGCATACTTAACTTTTCAAATACAAGTTTTTCCAAAAATTGTATACATCTCCTGAAAACGAGTGCCTTTGAAGATGGCAACTCCATTTCTGCTCCCTCTAATTCACGAGTTATTCTTGACTTGTTTTGTGGAATTAATTAGTTTCATCTTTTTCTTAATGGCAAAAACTACTTGTCATGATTTTTGCATGTTTCCTACCTTCTTGATCCTCATCTTTTTCTCTGATTTAATTACATCCTTTTCTGAGGATATACTGCAGATAAACTCTCTTTTTTTGTTTGCCCAAGAATGTCTGCATTTCATCCTACTCTTAAAAAGTGGGTCCTAGAAATTCTAGGTTGGCAATTATTTTTTATTAGCACTTTGGTGATCTCATTCTTCTGGCATCCGTCTTTCATCATTTCTGTTGAGTAGTTAGTGGTCAATGCCATTCTGCTGCCTTGAAAGTAAGCTATTTTATTCACTACCTTGTGGATTTATGCATGTGTGTGGTTGTTCTTTGGTTTTACTATTGTTTTTGGTTCGTCCAACTCGCCATGACATGTTCAAGTGTAGTTTTATGTTTGTGTACCCTCTATAGATTTAGGAACTTCCCGTTGGCTTTCTTTTGATGTAGGGTATCAGTCATTATCTTAAAATATTACTTACAAACGTTTTCTCTGTTCTATGTTCTTTCTCCTCTTTGTTTAGGAATCCAAGTAAAAATATGGTAAAATGTCTCACTGCCTCTGTTTTGCTGTGATGCATTCTGCATAATTTCTTCTGACTGATCTTTGGATTCACTAGTACCTACTTTAGCTACTACAAAATAGTGAACAGCCATTGCATTTAAAAATTTATTTTTTGCATCTTTCTATTTTAGAAATGTTCTTTGTTTCCTTTTTCACACATTCCAGTCATTTAAAAAATATTTATTTTATTTTAGATTCAAGGGGTCCATGTGAATGTTTGTTAAATGGGTATATTGCATACTGGTGGGGATTGGGCTTCTAGTTCACCCATTACCCAAATAATGAATATTGTACCTAATAGGTAGTTTTTCAACACTCACATCCTCTCCCCTTTGGGAAACCTCAGTGTCTATTATTTCCATCTTTATGCCCATGTGTACCAATTGTTTAGCTTCCACTTGTATGTGAGAATATGCAGTATTTTATTTTCTGTTTCTGAGTTAATTCACTTAGAATAATGGTCTACACCTCCATCCATGTTGCTTCAAAGGACATGATTTCATTCTTTTTTATGGTGGTGTAGTATTACATGATGTGTATATATATCACATTTTCTTTATCCAATCAATTATTGATGGACCCATAGGTTAGACTTAGGTTGGTTCCGTGACTTTGCTATTGTCATGGTATTGTCCTATAATGATTTGTTTTCCTTTGGGTAGGTGTCCAGTTATGAATATTTCTGGGTCAAAGGGTAGTTCTGTTTTCAGTTCTTTGAGATATCTTCATACTGTTTTCCATAGAGCTTGAACTAATTTATATTCCCACCAATAGTGTATAAGCATTCTCTCTTTGCTCTGCATCCAAGTCAACCTCTGTTTTTTTCTTTTTTCAACTTTTTAATAACAGCCATTCTGACTAAGATGATATCTCATTGTGGTTTTAATGAGCATTTCTTTAATGATTAGTGATTCTGAGCATTTTTTCCTGTGTTTGTTGGCTGCTTGCATTTTTTTTTTGAAAAATGTCTGTTCATGTCCTTTGCCCAGTTTTTAATGGGGTTGTTTCTTTTTCTCTTCTTGAATTCTTTGAGGTCCTTGTAGATTCTTGATATTAGTCCTTTGTCAGAGACATATTTTGCAATTCTGTTTTTTTTTTTTTTCAAGCATGGCGAGAAAGATTTTATTCAGGACCAGAGCAATAGTTACAGGGACCACTGAAATGTTGTCTGACAGTGGGGAAGAGAGATTCTATGCTGGTCATTTTTAACAGCTTTCTTTTATTATTATTGTTATTATTATTATTATTATACTTTAAGTTCTAGGGTACATGTGCACAACGTGCAGATTTGTTACATATGTATACATGTGCCATGTTGTCGTGCTGCACCCATTAACTTGTCATTTACATTAGGTATATCTCCTAATGGTATCCCTCCCCCCTCCCCCTACCCAACGACAGCTCCTGGTGTGTGATGTTCCCCTTTCTGTGTCCAAGTGTTCTCATTGTTCAGTACCCACCTATGAGTAAGAACATGCCGTGTTTGGTTTTCTGTCCTTGCGATAGTTTGCTGAGAATGATGGTTTCCAGCTTCATCTATGTCCCTACAAAGGACATGAACTCATCCTTTTTTATGGCTGCATATTTGACAGCTTTCTTTTGCTGAGATTGTTTCAAGTGTGTTCTAGCTTTGGACGTTATGAGAAGAGCTGTTTTACAACATTTTTCTCTGATTATTTTTAAATCTAGGGTCTTTGTAGAACTGTTTCTTTCTCCACTATTTCTTCTAGTTCTCTGTAATGGTTATATGTATATATATATATGATACATATGTACTTATCTATCAGCTATATACATCATATAGGTGATACATACATACGCTGTGAGTGCATTATTTTCCTTGGAATATTATTGTGGAGATTCTTTCAGGATGAGGAGGAACTGCACATTTGTTTCTATTAGGTATTGTGAACTGTTTTAAACTAAATTTATAGCTTGAGTTTTTGAGATTGTAATTTATGCAACAGCAGCATTTTCCCCATGCTTTGTTTAGCACCAACGAACACTTCCTTGCCGACACATGGAAGCAGGAGTGAGGTAGTGTGGGTTTACTTTTGGTTTATGCTTATTGTGAAATTATAGCTCTTTGGAGGTCTTGTTTCATAGGGGGAAAGTCTTCTATTATCACATGCGTGTTGCTGGGGACTTGAGATTTTTTCCTTCTTCCATATCACTCCACAGAGACTGAAAAACTGAAGCTCAAATTCACTGCTTTCATGAATTCTCCAAGGGCCAAAGGGAATTCAACATTTAGCTTTCTTTTCTGAGATCAAGACATCACTTAGATTTTGGTCTTGTAATTCCTTACCATCTTGTATGCTCTTTGTTGCTCCAAAATCTTCTTTTTCTTCTATCTTATGCAGAATTTCTAGTTGTTTTTATCAAGAATGTGGGTTTGAACAACTGAGCATATTATTTTATTGGAAAAGTGCAATTGCTTTTTACTACCGATTCCTAATTATCCAGAGGATCTAGAAAAAATGGATTTAACTCTTTGGCCAATTAAAACACAAATTCCAAAAATGGATTATCTGTTCTTATAAAGCTATAGTATATTAAAAGATATTTAATACATAAATAACAGTAAACAAAGTATCCTCTACTATGGTTTGAAAATTATTTAGAATCTTGCGATTTTCCTGGGTCTCTCTAAATGCTAATGATCACCAATGAGTTTGACAAATAGAGATGTTACAAGTGATTGGTTTAAATCTTTGATGCACCTTAAATGTATTTTAAAATGTGCCCCTAACTCTTTATTTTACCTGACTGTATTTCAGTGCATCAGTTTAAGGGAAGACATGAGATCATGGGTTTAAGTGAGGCTTCATCATACTAAGACAACGTGATCAGGTAAGTACTTGCCCCTCTACATGTCAGCATTCTTACCTGTAACATAGTACAAACAAGACTTTGTCTGAGTCCCTTGCAACATTTTGTGGAGCATCAAATACAATAAAGACCGTGGATATGCTTTGTAAACCTTGAGTTTCTACACATATGCAAATATAAGTTCTGGTAAGATATAGAATGAACAAGGGAAATAGAATCCTATTTTTATGTTTCAATTTTATGGATTGCTGGAAAATTGAAGTGTATAGGAGTCTTCCTGTGTTGCTCACTAGAATGCCTTTGGCTGGGTTTACTGGTATTGCACGAAAACAGCTGTTAGCAAAGACAAGACTTAGGCACCCAACAAGACCTTTTATTTTCACATGACTGAGCCTCTGACTTCAATATCCTTTCCGTGTTTTTCCCAGAAGTTCTTTTGTGTTATGTACAATTACTCTGCTGAACAGATTGTATTTGTTTTTTTCTTTGTTGTTTTGTTTGTTTGTTTTGTTTTGTTTTGTTTTACTGTGAGGCAGTGATGCCAATGCTTGTGTATTTAGGATGGGGGTCGCAGACTCTGTACTTCCAGGAGAAGCCCCCGGAAGGTCTTAGCTGGCTCCTGAGGGGGCACATTTGCTGTGCTCATTGCACTTTACCTGGTGTCATGAAGCATAAAGAGCACAAACGTGGACACCAAGAGTCTACCTTAAAGTCCCACTCCTTTATGTTTGTAAATATGGGATATTGGGAAGTTGCTGCACCTTTTTTTGCTCATTTTCTTCACTGAACAGCAGAAATAGAAAAATTTCTTCTTAATAGGGCTTAAGGGAGACTCAAATACAACACTGTATATGATGTTCTTTTGCAAATTGTAAAGCAAAGTACAAAGTTTCAAATATATTCATTATACGTATATATCTAGCTTTTTATTCCATTTGGTTCAAAAAATTTATGTGTTCCAAAAAATTATGGAGGTGATACATATCTAAGTAGAGGATTTGTCAAATATAAATATCATGATGTACTAACAAGGCTGGACAGCTTTTATTAACACATTGTCTGCAGCACAAAAAAACAATGCCTGGGCCTGAATAGGAACCATATGAAAATATTTCTTAAATCAGTGAAAGATTATTTAATAATTAAGAAAAACTGGCCAGGTGTGGTGGCTCATGCCTGTAGTTCCAGCACTTTGGGAGGCCGAGGCGGGCAGATCACGAGGTCAGCAGATTGAGACCATCCTGGCTAACACGGTGAAACCCCATCTCTACTAAAAATATAAATATTAAAAAAAAAAAAACTAGTCAGGCGTGGTGGCGGGCGCCTGTAGTCCCAGCTACTCGGGACGCTCAGGCAGGAGAATGGGGTGAACCCGGGAGGCGGAGCTTGCAGTGAGCCGAGATAGCGCCACTGCACTCCAGCCTGGGCGATAGAGTGAGACTCCGTCTCAAAAAAAAAAAAAAAAAGGCGAAGACAAGGGTGAGTTTAGAAGGTGAAATCTGTGCTGTATATACTGAGAAATTGCTTGGGATGACTCATTTGATTCTGAATATCTGCATTAGCCAGTGCAGGCTGGCGTAACTAAATGCCACAGACTGGATGGCATAAGCAGCAGAATTTCATTCTCTTACAGTTTTGGGGGCAGTGAAGTCCAAGATCATGAAGCTGGAAGGGTTTGGCGTCTGTTGGGGCCTCTTACCGGCTTGGGCTGCTTTTTCCTTATGTGGCCTTTATACATGTGAGGTCGAGGGGAGAGACATCTGTCTCTTTCTTTCAGTATAAAGCCACCAGTCCTAGTAGACTGAGGTCCCACCCGTATGACCTAATTTGACCTTAAGTGCCTACTAAAGGCCCTGCCTGTCTTCAAAAACAGTCACATCAGGGATCAGAACTTTTATACATAAGATTTTTGCAGGGACACGATTCAATCCAAAGCAATATCTTATCAAGATAACGATATGTTTGGCTACGTCTCCACCCAAATCTCATCTTGAGCTGTAGTTCCCATAATCCCCACCTGACATGGGAGGGACCTGGTGGAAGGTGATTTTATCATGGGAGCAGTTACCTCCATGCTGTTCTCCTGATAGTAAGTGAGTTTTCATGAGATCTGATGGTTTTATAAGGGGCTTTTCCCTCCTTTTTCCCACCTCTCTTTGCTGCCGCCATGTGAAAAAGGACATATTTGCTTCCCCTTCTACCATGATTGTAAGTTTCCTGAGGCCTCCACAGCCATGCCGAACTGTGAGTCAATTAAACCTTTTTCCTTTATAAATGTCCCAGTCTTGGGTATGTCTTTATTAACAGCTTGAGAAGAGACAAATACGGATAATATGATTGGTTAGACAATTTGAGAATCTTTATAATATTTTTCAAAAGAAACATAAATATTGTAATTTTTGTCAATAACTGTTTGGTGAGCAAGGAAGTTAATTTCTTTGAATGTGTTTTTGTACTTGTGAAATAGGGATTATAATTCGTGCATTGACTTAATGTTATTATAACACTCAAAGAATGTATTGTGCACTAGTCCTTGCAAACCCAAGCAAAGCCCTTGGGTTACACATGTGAGTTGTCATCATTCAGTATTCCCCTTGCCATGGGAGGGGAAAGAAGCATGTATGATCTGCACTGCGATGCACACATGGGCCCCCTGGAGATGTGGAGCAGGTGATGGATCTTCAGTCTCCATTAGAACCTTATTATTGGACATTTAGAAAAAGGCAGAAAAAGTTAGCAGCTCCAGAACTGCTGGATCGTGATTGTGCTTCTGTTTTGTAAATATCTCCATTGACTTCAAGTTACTGCCCACTCGGACCTACGATTCCAATCCCCCTCCCCATTCACCTACAGAATAATGAGACTGTGATTTAAACTAGAAAGCCAGTAGCTTTTCTTCTTTATTTTCTTTGAGTGATAGCCACAAAGGGGAGAGTTTAAGAAATAAGTCGTTGCTTGCATAAAGACTGCAGAGAAAAACCTTCATTTGTTTATTTTTTTCCTTTCTTCTATTTTCTATTCTAAAGCTGCATGTGGTCTCCTCCTAAAAGGAGTTTACTGGTAGCATGTTAAACATGTCTAAGACATTTCTGAATATTTGAATATAAATTATTTACATAACTTGTTAATTTATTTGCTTATGTAAAAGATATGGTGGGTCAATTGGGTAAATAGCTAGCCCACTGCAGACTACCTTGGCCTTTTTTTCTACCTGAATGCCTTGTGGCAATGAAAGAGTTGTGAAAAGGAGCAAAGAAGAAAAAGCAATTTATAGTCAAATTTTGAGAATTTTTAAAAGAGGAGGAAGAGGAAAACAATTTGACAGAGAGAGGAGGAAGGGAGGAAAGTAAGAAGAAAATAAAGGATCATATGTTAAAATCAGAAAGAAATATACAAAAACCTAAAGATGACATTGGAATCAATGAAAGCAAATATACTAGGGTCAGATTTTTGCCTCTCATCTCTAATCTAACACAGTCTATGTCAAATAGTTACAGCATCATAACTTCTGTCCCCTTTATTCAGAATTAGCAAAGTCTGAACTGACTTACCTGAACAGGAAGAACTAGTTGAGTAATTTCTTTTAGTAGCATGGTAGTGGAAAATTTTAGAATCATATAAACTTAGGTTGAAAATTCTGCTCCTTTACTCTCCCGCCCTGTGACTTCAGGTAAGCTTGTTGATCTTTCCAACTTCAGTTTCTTCTTCTGTAAAATAGAGATAGTAGGACCTGCCTTATATATTAAATATACATATAAACCATAGAGATGCCTCTGAAATTAGCATAAGCTCCTTTGGAAATTGAAAATGGCAATGTTTGGGATAACTTTCACCGTTTATGTGTTTGCTGAAGGTAAAAATATCAGTTAAAAATATCTTTCACTGAAACAAGAGGAAATTTACTCTTAAATAAGAATACTTTACGCATCGAGCAGAGATAAAGAGAATTTACATGTGTCTCTAGGTTCCTTGGCTTCCAATAGTATCTTTATTTGTGCAAGTTTTGTGTTTTGTAAAAGCTAGAAGGTCAATAATCAAAATGGCATTTGATTGCTTATTCATTATTTGGTGGTGCAAACATGTAGAACATTTTCTGTTTCTATTTCTGGCAAACGGAAGGGATGGTAAAACTAGACGCAATATTGGACGAACATTAGCTGCCCAGGACTGGCCTCAGTCATTGAAACTTTGATTAAGAACTCTGGGTATGATGGATAATTTTTGTGTCAAATTCACTTAGACATGAGGTGCCCAGACTAAACATGGGTCCTGGTTATGCCTGTGAAGCTGTTTCTGTATGAGATTAGCGTTTGAATCAGCAGACTGAGTAAAGCAGGTGGCCCTCCACCGTGTGAGTGGGCATTATCCGATTCATTGAGACCCGAATAGAACAGAAAGCACAGGAAGGGTGACTTCACCCTCTGCCTAACTGCTTGAGCTGACACATCAGCCCCCTGTGCTGTTCTTGACTGGGTCTTATACCATCGATACTTTGGTTCTCTCAACTACATCACTGTCTTTCCTGGGTCTCCAGCTGCAGATGGCAGATTGTGAGACTTTCAGCCCCCATAATCACATGAGCCAATTTCTTATAATAAACTCCCTCTCTCTCCTTCTTTCCCTCTCTCTCTGTCTATATATATATATACACACACACACACGTATTAAATATATATGTGTATATATATACACACACACACACACATGCGTGCACATGCACACATATACTCTTGATTCTGTTTCTATAAAGAACACTGATTAATACAAAGGGCAATTTCAAGGATTTGATTATATATATAAAATATTAAATCACTTATACATATAACATCGTGTGTGTGTGTGTGTGTCTCCTTTTACTGAGTTACCTCCTGATTTTTATGACTTTAGGATGAGAACCAGGGCTATTTTTCTAATAACACAGATACCTTTCCTGAGAAAAATCATCCTAGCCATCCACAATGGCAAAGATCACATATGTGTATGCATGTTCATGTGGTCACATATGTGTGCATGCATGTATACATGTCTGCATGACCACATGTGTGTATGCATGTGTATTAGTCAGGGTTCTCTAGAGGGACAGAACTGATAGAATAGATGTACATATAAAAGGGGGTTTATTAAAGAGAATCAACTCACATGATTACAAGATAAATTCCCATGATAGGCCATCTGCACGTTGAGGAGCAAGGAAGCCAGTGGTGCATCAGTCTGAGTCCCGAAACCTCGAAAGTTGGGAAGTAAACAATGCAGTCTTCAGTCTGTGGCCAAAGGCCCGAGAGCCCCTGAAAAATCACTGGTGTAAGTCCAAGAGTCTAAAAGCTGAAGAACTTGGAGTCTGATGTTCGAGACCAGGATACTTCCAGCACAGGAGAAAGATGAAAGCCAGAAGACTCAGCAAGTCTGTTCTTCCATCTTCTTCTGCCTGCTTTATTCTAGCTGTGCTGACAGCTGATTAGATGGTGCCCACCCAGATAGAAGGAGGGTCTGCCTCTCCCAATCCACTGACTTAAATGTTAATCTCCTTTGGCAACACCCTCACAGACATGCCCAGGAACAATATTTTGCATCCTTCAATCCAATCAGGTTGACACTCAACATCAGCTATCACAGCATATATGTATATATGTTTGTTTAAAAACACAGCAAGATATCGGAATAAGCTTTGTACACTAGGACTATTTGCAAAGTTATTGTGTGAATATAAAGAACTAATATATATCTTAAAATTTTCTGTAGAGGTAGTTGTATACACAGGCTGTAAAAGTCAGCATTTTTCCTCATGTTATTCCAGAACACATAAAAAAGCAACAAGGAAAATGGAGAAAAAAAGAACCAAATATATCCTTAGTGAAACTAGAAAAAGTTAGAATCCAAAGATTTCAAAACTTATGTAGGGATGACTAAATCTAGTTGGAATCAGGCACAAGCCACATGGGAGTAAATGAAGTATGGAGGTAGTGAGGCCAATGGCTGATAATCTCAGAAAACACCAACAAAATGTACTCCCTGAAAATTTGGGAGTTCATTTCCATGTTCAAAACTTATACCCCTTTTTTTTAACCACAGGAGTGGGAACCAGGGTACACAGTCTACCAGAAAAAGTCCCCTCCTGGACCCAGTTTTGTTCAAGGGAGGAACAAGGGAGATTCAACCACACAGAGAATCACCAGAGGAGCCATACTTGCAGGAAGCAGTCTGTCTCTGTGACAGCCCAGTAGGAAAGAGCCATTCTGGTGTGAGGCCCAGAAGGTTGTCTTAATTCTCTCTCTGAACCTCTGTAGTTATCTAGGAAAACCCAAACCATTTAGTAGTATATTACAAAAATAAAAGGAAATAGATACCCATTTATACAAAAATTATCTAAGCAAACATCTGAAAAGCAAAACTCAAGTATTACAGAGAAAATGAGAACTATGGAAGACCGACAAATGGATTGAACACATACATTACTGGAACATCCAAAGAAGAAACCAAAAGAGACAGAACAAATACTTCAAAATTATAATTCAAGAACACTTCCATGCAATGCATGAAGACTTGAATCTACCTTTCAAAAGGGCATATCAGAAGCAAGGTATATCCATTCATGACAGGCAAAAAGTGAACCACATCTTAATGAAGGTATTGGACTTAAAAAAAATAAGGTATCTATTGGGCAGCCAGAAAAAAAGAATAAGTCACTCACAGGAGAAATGAAGAAGGCTGTCCTGGCTCCCCTAGCTGTACTGAAGCTGGATGGTCATGAGGGAAGACCAACAAGATTCTCAATGCCAACCAAGGATTTTTATGTGCAGCCAAGCTAGTCTTACTATGCAGACATGATATATTACAATTTGTTGCGGTTTTTATCAAGCAAGAATTCAGGAAAAAATATTTTCATTAATGTTTTTGAGAGAACAAAAACATGGGTATGTGGAGAAAAAGGGCAATACATTTGGTTACAGAAGGAAGGAAAACAATAACAACCAATTAAAGGAAGATGCTTTGGTAAAATACAGCAAAAAAAAAAAGTTGTAAGTATTGAATGTATTTTACTGTAGACTGAAACCAAATGTGGATTAGGGTTACAGAATAGGCTGGAAATGTCATATGCCCCAATAACATAGAAATAATAAACTTTACCATGTCAAAGGTGAAGAAAGATAGTGAAGGTAAGGAAGCCTCATTAATTACCTCACTTGTTATGACTACGATGCGAAGGATAAATTTTAAAGGTGGCAAATACAGCAAAATAAAAGCCTACTTAGCAGTGCAATGGTAGAGTAAGGAGGATAACATTTACTATCCTCCTTACTTACAAAGGGCACCTGCCACTGTATGGTGGTGGGCTGGTATCAACTCACTCATACCCCTACCTGGAACCTAGGTTGTAATGTTAGTTCCACCAGTACTCTTCAGATCAGGCAGCATGATAAAGGGAAGGAAGGCATTAATCAGCACAAGTAAACAATAGCTGATATAGGTTCTGCCTCTGCTGTTGGTCTATGTTCTATGTTGATAGTCAGCTCCTCTTTTTCATTTTTTCAAATCACCTATCAATGCTCCCTTTACCTTCTACCAACACCTTTCCCTATCAGAAATTTTAAACTAGTAGTATGACCAAAATTTTCATTCCAATAGACTGCAAATCCTTTACAGCTACAGTTTCCCACTAACCATTATCTTTGGACACTAGTGAATTAAGGAGCTCCAGTAAATTGCCCATGTTCTAGATGTAATCTTCTTTGCTCCCATTGTATACAAACACTCCAACATCCTTTCGGCACTGTAAAATGCCAGTTCAAAATAGGAATTCTCTATCTCGTAACATGAAAAGCCCAACATGATTATAGAACAGTCTCAGGTTCTCATTGAACGAAACCAGGACTATGTTTCTTGATGCAAAATTATTCCCTTGGCCCTAGGACTTCACAACACACTGAGTATAAGGAATTAAGAATGAAAAATACAGATCCCATCAGTGTAAGACTGAGGGAGGTCATACCGAATTTCACCCTTTTGTTTTCTGACCGTGTGTTCTAGTATTCTGGCTTTGTGGAAAAGGTGGAGTGAACTTACAATTCAGTTATCTAAGTCAGGTCACTTTTGACGGTGAAAGGGGTTGTTGTTAATAATTATGTTAGAAATTATTATTATTATGTCCTGGGAAAACTGGAGCACATGGTCACACAAGAGACAGAGTCATACATTGGTCATTGCTCCACAGTCATTCTGCATGCTGGAGAGGAGTGCTCCAGGCCTGCAGCACGCCATCTCTCAGCTCGCACTGTGTGAGAACCTCCAGGAAGCCACCTCCCCTTCAGTAAAGCCACTGGGTATCTGCAAGACAGGCTACCAGCAGCAAAGGTGGGCAAAGAGGGCACTGGTCAATGCCCGAACTGTGGGATGTCTTAATCTGTTTGTTCTGCATTAACAGAACATGGACATGGAGGCTATGTAGTCTATTGAGAAAAACATATTTCTCACAGTTGTGGGTCCAAGATCAAGGTGCCAGCAGATCTGGGGGCTGGAGAGGGTTGCTTTCTGCTTCCAAGATGGCGACTCTTGCTGTGTCCTCACATTGCAGAAGGAATATAAAAGCAAACAGGATCTAGCTAGTCCCCTAGAGTGCTGTTATAAGGGTATATGATCACCTCCTCAAGGCCTCACATCTTAATCTTGTCACACTGAAGATGAAGTTTCAACATGAATTTTGGAGGGACACAAATATTGAAACCATAGCAGGAGGCAGGGAGTGTTTTCATGGAGAGAATACTGTTGCCATCACTGCAGTTCCCACTGCAGAAAAGGAGTGGGAGAAAATTACCCCCAACTCTCTGTCTTCTGAGCATCCCATCACCTTACATTGATCTCCGTCAGCCAAATCCAC
Source organism: Homo sapiens (assembly GCF_000001405.40). Taxonomy (NCBI): domain Eukaryota; kingdom Metazoa; phylum Chordata; class Mammalia; order Primates; family Hominidae; genus Homo; species Homo sapiens. Next base: position 18,665 of record NT_187520.1, read on the forward strand.
ATGGAAGTTCAAGCCCAGGAAAGCCAGAGTCATGCTATTTATAGAGATATTGGCAGTTTTGGGGTGCATAAAGAGGGGTAGAGAATAAAGAGGGGTTGAAAGACAAGTGAAGATAAGCCATCACTGATATCTGTCAGATACTGTGCAGCAGGGGTTTGGGGGTAACTGGCTGGTTTTCGTCAATGCTGTCTGTGAACACAGCCTTGGGAATGGAGAGACAGGGCTTGCTGGCTGGATTACAAGTGGGGAGCATCAGGGCAGGTAATTTGCTCCATGTGTAGCTGGCAGACTACCATGTGGTTTTAGAATTTGGAAACTTTAGTAACTTTGCAAAAACTGCGACACAAAATTCGAAAACTATCCTCCATCATATTTTAAAATTAAAGAACACTATCATTTTAAACGTGTTCTAGGAACACATCTCCTTCCTCATGGTACTGGCCTTTTCTATAAATATCTCAAGCTCCGTTAAGCTTTTCTTAATAAAAGTATGGATGCACAAAAGAGGAATATTTTCTGCTTGTTCCAATATCTCTTGAGGTTATTAACATGTTTGACTTCTTAGTCATGATAAAATGGCTTTCAGTTATGACCCCTCCTCTCCTTTTTTTTTTTTTGAACTTTCCCAAGACCACCATCCAAACTCAAGCCTTCATTGCAACTGATCAAATCCAGTGCAAAAGCTTTATGGTCTTATACGTAGCATCTGCCTTCAATCTGCTTGCTTCAGTGCCTCTTCCACATTGTTACCCAAGTATCTTCCTAAAACATCACATTAAGTTGGGTGATTTTTCTGCTCAAAAAGCGATCATGGATCCTCTTTGCATATATAATAGAACACAGTTCTTAGCCTAGCATTAAACATGTTCCGTAATCTGAGCCTAGTATGTTTTTTCTGGCTCTACTTCATTCTTAAGCTATCTATGCAATACAGATACGAATTTGAACATGCCCAACCTCTCTTGCCTCAGTTATTTCATTTGTCCAATTCCTTTCATCTAGCATGCAGTCACCAGGATTTGCCTGTGCTGTAAACCCCACTGTAGCTCAAGGCTCCATTCAGATTCACCCTCCTCCATCAAGCCTACTCTTGACGGTTACATTTAATCCTTCTTGATAGATTAAGTCCTTATCTTCATGGTGGACCTTCTGTTCTGGGTGCTGTTATTCACCTTGTGGTTTCTGGGCTGTCTTGGCCAAGTCTTCCCCCATAATGTTAGCCATCTCCCAGACTTAAAGTTTACAAAGCGTACATTGTCCTTTTTTTTTTGTTTTTTTTTTTTGTTGTTGTTGTTTTGGTTTCTTTTTTTGAGATGAAGTGACGCTCTGTCGCCAGGCTGGAGTGCAGTGGCGTGATCTTGGCTCACTGCAACCTCCGCCTCCCAGGTTCAAGTGAGTCTCCTGCGTCAGCCTCCCAAGTAGCTGGGACTATAGGCACCCGCCACCACACCCAGCTAATTTTTGTACTTTCAGTAGAGACAGGGTTTCACCATGTTGGCCAGAATGGTCACAATCTCTTGGCCTCACGATCTACCTGCCTCGGCCTCCCAAAGTGCTGGGATTAGAGGCGTGAGCCACCATGCCCAGCCAAAGCATTCATTTTCTCATTTATCTTTACTTGTGATGTGCTACAATCATAGATATTAACATGTTTCCAATTTAGCAAGACTAGGAAACTGAAGCCCGTAGATTTTACTCACAAAGCTAAGTAGTATACACCTCGGAAAGGAATTAATTCCCAGATACAAGGATGTATCCTGCACCACCACTGTCTCTGTTCTACAGCTGCCAAAGTGTAGAAGTAAAGTGGGTGCACATGCTTCATTCTTCAGCAGTCCACCAAGGATCCCCTGAATCCTTCTGCTCACATAGGTGATGGTAGTCAAGAGACCTGAAATGGGTCCGTCTGGAAAAGCAACTGATGAATTTAACTTTCTACATAGTTAGAAAACAAAAATCAACTCACTTGACAAGTACCTGGAAGAATTTGTATATGATTTAGCATCTTTGTGCTTTATGGACAAAATGAATACTACAGAAAAGCATTTATAAATGATAAATCTATCAATCCAAATAAAATACCATCTACTTTGTGATGTATTTCTTTTTCTTTTTCTTTTTCTTTTTTTTATCTGAGATGGAGTCTTGCTCTGTTGCCCAGGCTGGAGTGCAGAGGCATGATCTCAATTCACTGCAAGCTCCGCCTCCTGGGTTCACGCCATTCTCCTGCCTCAGCCTCCAGAGTAGCTGGGGCTACAGGTGCCCACCACCATGCCTAGCTAATTTTTTGTATTTTTTAGTAGAGACTGGGTTTCACCATGTTAGCCAGGAAGGTCTCCATCTGCTGACCTCATGATCTGCCCGCCTCAGCCTTCCAAAGTGCTGGGATTACAGGTGTGAGCCACTATGCCCGGCCTTTTTGATGTATTTCATAAATAACTAGAGTGGCATTACTTTAATCAGTTAAAAGCTTGTTATATGCAAAAATTTTAAAAGTTTGCTGCATGTAAAAGGCAGGCTTTCTAAGTTTGTGACCAATCACAAGGATCCAAACTATTTTATATTTGTTTCAGATAACTGTAAATACATAGAAATTCATGTTAAAATAAGTAACACACCATATTTTTGCATGTTTTATTTATTAAGCTTGTTATTATATGTTTTCATATATTTTTTCTTCTGTTTTGATCAAAATGATGGGAAAATAAGCTTGCATATTATAAGGAACACATTTCCCCCAATAGTAAGTGGCTTTTGTCTTTTGCTCTTTGATAAGATCTTTCAGAGAGACTTTTAATTTTCATCATTAAGTTTAATTAAATTTTGTAAAGTGGCTGGTTCAATAACACATGGCTTTGAGCATGAGTAATCAAATCGTACGTGTTTCCTGAATACTATCATCAACTTCAAATCTTGAGTTAGAATATGCACTTAGAGTGAGTTGACATTGATGACAATGGATATAACCTATGTTTCAAAATGCTTTCCTGATGATAATGTAGAATTTTTGGCTGACTCCTTGCCATTGTTTTCAACTTTGCTATGTGGTTGACAAGAGTATATACAACTAATTGAAGAAATGTAGCTCTGATATTTTATTGTTCTTGAATTATCATATTATCTAAATTTGGTATTTCTTTGTAGGAAATTTTTTAACCCACTTAACCTTTTGTGAAGTTAGTTTAGTCAAAAGTAGACAATTTAATCCTTGAATTCACTTGCCGTGGTTAAGATGACTGTGCCATTTAACAATAGCTGCAAGAGATCCTGTGAGTGGGGCTGTGGGAACTCCTCTGCCCTCTGCAGGGCCCACATTTCTCAGGAAACCAGTGACTTCACTTGCTATGCAAATCTCTGACATGCAGCCTGAGTGGGGAGTCCAGAATCAGTCTACATGTTCAATATTAGTAACACTTAGATATGTGCCTACTTTTTAAGATAATAGAAATAGATACACAAATTCTCACAATTTATTTCCAGAACCAAATTGACTATTTTTTAAAGCCAATTTTGAATACTTTTCATCTTGTAGATCAGATAAGTCCATATTGCTTCTTGGTCCATACTGAGGGTTTGATTCTCTTGGATTCCTGAGGAAAATAGGCTCCCTGGCCCAGTAACTGCTGTGACCTCAAACTCTTTCCATCATTGGAGTGCGGTCAACATCAGCAGTTGATGAAACTGAAAGTCAACATTTCACTTTAGCTTGTCCTGGAACTAAACTGAGAAGACGTCTTTGGAACTGGTCACACAGGGAGAAGTATCCCGGTGTGAGGTCAGATGCATGCACATTTCTCAGTGATGTGACTACACACTGTGAACTCTGCGACTGACGCTTTCTCCATAGTGAGGAAAAAGACCTTGTTGAAAAATGCCAGAGTACTATCTTGGAACCTCAGAGTATTCGCATGACTCAAATATCAAGGGCTGTTTTTTTTTTCTCCCCAAAATGGCTTAGAAAACAAAATGTATGGATCTGATTGTCTCTTATACAAAGACATGTTAGAGTTTGTAACCTGTGTAAATGCTGTAATTAAACCCTTGTTTTTACATGGATTCATTATGTTAAATTCTTCAGTAATTACTGACATTTTCTTTAATGTGTACATGTGGCGAACATAAGAATATGATTAGCTCGAGTTAAAAGTGTAAGCAGTAATGAGCATATTATGGGTCTCCCTTTGTCTTTGGTCACTCTAAGCTTCTTGACAATAAAGCTTGACTTTTTATAGATTTGCTGCACTATGCAATTTTCTGTAAGCAAATAAATGCATGTAAAGTAAAAATGACAACTTTCATATACATAGGTTGAATGGTACAGCTTCTCTTTACATTAGCTTCCCGAGTTACAACCTCTACCCTTGTGTAGGTACAAGTCGGTGATTAAAGTGCAGAACAACTTCCCCAATACAGGAATCCAGCTTCGGAAAATATCTGTGCTGGAAAACTTGCAATGGAGGAATGGAAGACTTGAGAAAGGGAGGGCTGGGAAACAAGAGCTGTGACTCACCCTGAAGACATTCGTAAATATCTATTTTAATATCTATTACAATACAGCAATAAAGGCAAACTAAAAAAGGCTATACAAGGCATTTTGCACATCTTCATGTACTGGGTTCTCTGAAGCCCATTTCCTGTTAATATCTTTTGCTGGAAGAATCTTCTCAGGATCTCCCCTTCTGTCTGTTCCAACCAGACTCCCGTACATTCATTTTCGTTCCTCGTGGGTAATACACCCACTGAGAGACATGTTCCTTTGCTTTTTTTTTTCTTCTTAGGGGGTTTCTCCACAAGATTCCTGGTTGAGTTGATGGAGTGAAAGTCTGTCTGTCCCCCAATTTTTTTTTTTTTTTTTTTTGGAGACAGAGTCTCACTCTATTCCGCAGGCTGGAGTGCAGTGGCACTATCTCAGCTTACTGCAACTTCCGGCTCTTGGGTTCAAGCAATTCTCATACCTCAGCCTCCCGAGTAGCTGGGATTACAGACGTGCACCACCATGCCTGGCTAATTTTTGTATTTTTAGTAGAGACATGGTTTCACCATGTTGGCCAGGGTGGTCTCGAACTCCTGACCTCAGGTGATCCGCCTGCCTTGGGCTCCCAAAGTGCTGGGATTACAGGCGTGAGCCACTGTGCCTGGCCTGTCTGCCACCTTTGATGGACAGTGTGACTACAGGGACAGAGGAAGATTCCCCAAAGACCTGCACTCACCCCCTCTAATGCATGTCCAGACATCGTCTGGCTCTCAGCACTCCCCTCCATTGCCCAAAGCCCTTTTGCAGGACCTCTGCCTGTTCTGCCTGCTTTGTGCTTTGTTTTGTTGCATTTTATTTCCTTTTCTTTCCTGTTTCTAACCCAGTCATCTCTTTTTCTAGTTATTCCCAACCTATATAACTCACATGCACTGGAGGAAATATCTTCATGGAATTAAAACCACATGGAGTAACATTTCACGTAAGCAGAATTCAGGAAGGATTTCAGTAATTCCATCCCAAACACACACAGGCAAAGGGAGTGAAGATTTCTTCAGCAACATGGTGGCAGAAAGATCATGAAAAGATCTAGGCCAGGCAAGTATGCAAACAAGACTGACTCTTCCTTTCCACTGGAGCTTTGGGTAATTGCTCTGACAATTCTATGATTTGCTGAAGCCACAGAAAATCAGTTTTAAAACAGGATTTCTACCCCTGGCTCACTACATGACAAATAATTTTATCCTGTAATCTTCTGATGTTAAACAAAGATGGCCCTCAATGTAATTGTTACAGTGCCTCCTCCCCACTTCTGTTAGCTGTTGCTTCTCTGCCTCCCATGAGTTTAGTGTAATCCCAGAACTTTGGGAGACCAAGGAGGGCAGATCACTTGAGGTCAGGAGTCAGAGACCAGCCTGGCCAACACGGCGAAACCCCATCTCTACTGAAAATACAAAAATTAGCCAGGCATGGTGGCTTGCGTCTGTAATCCCAGCTACTTGAGAGGCTGAGACACAAGAATCACTTGAATCCAGGAGGCAGAGGTTGCAGTGAGCTGAGATAGTGCCACTACACTCCAGCCTGGGAGACAGAGCGAGACCCTGTCTCAAAACAACAAAAAACAAAAACCGAACAAACAAAAACTGTAATTGCTGAAACGCTCTTTTTCATCAATCATATATATTGAACCAGGGTCACGAAAACATGGGAAAAGTGTAATTTCTGCCTCTGAGGAACTCACAGTCTAGTGGGAGACACCATTTATTCATCCATTCTTTCATGAAATACACATTGAGAATATAACACACCCTGGGCAAAGGAGAGGTCATTTGACTATGACACAAGACAATAGTCATAGTCTTTGCCCTCATGGAATTCACAGCCTAGCCATGGAGATTAAAAATAAAAAGATCTAATAGAATAAAGAGTAGTAGATTTAAAAACACTGGAAACCCAGTGTGCAGTAAAACTAAAAAAGAGGGCTACCTAACCTAGTGTGAGAGGTGAGGTAGAGGTTAGGGTGAGAAAGGATGGTATAGGAAGGCTTTCTGGAAAATTTCAAGATAAATCTTGAGGATAAGTCAGAATTATACAGGTGAAAAGTAGAATAGTGCTTGCTACCTTGCAATTGTTCAGCAAACATCTGCAATGATTACTAACTGTCTGTCAGTTTTTGGCTCTTCTTCAATCCTCACAGTCCAAGCTCACTGCAGTTAAATCTTCAGTCTCCAGCACTGCACTTGGGAAAGCGTCAAGGAGTTGACTGTATATGTAATTGGAGTGCCAGAAGAAGAGAACCGAGAGAGAGGGGCAGAACAGCTCATGAGGGGAAAACCCACTACATACAATCAAGAATACTGCAGACTCCTCATCGGAATCTATGTAAGTAAGAAAAAAATGGCCAGGAACTATAGAGCTGTTCTTTAAAGTACTTAAAAACATTTTTGCCAACCTAGAAGTCTTTAACCAGCAAAAATGTCTTCCAAAAAGAAAAAGACTTTTCAGAACAAATACTGAGCTGATTCATTATTAGCACATTTGCACTACATAAGTGTTAAAGAAAATTTCTTTAGTAAAAGAAATATAATACCAGAAGGAAAATTTGATCTATAAAAAAAGAAATTAAGAGTCCCAGAAATATATAAAAATTATGTAAAAATTTTTTGTTTTTTCTCCTTAAAAGATAATTGATTATTTAAAGCAAAAACAATAAAGTGTTATAGGATTTGTGGCACATGTTAAATGTATGCATTTGAAGTAAAATGTATGGTAACGGTAGTGCAAAGACAGAAGAGAAAAACTGACTTCTCCTGCTGTACATTCTTTATACTCTACATAGAGCTGTGATAAGTTAAAGATGTGTATTGTAAACTCTAGATGAAATAAAAATTTAAAAAATAAAAATAAAATTAAGAAGCAAGATGGAACAAGTAGAAAACAAATAGAAAGATGGTGGATTTGATTTTAGTTTTATCAATAATTATATAAATTCAAATAATCTAAACCCCCAGAATTTTTAAAAATGGGAGATAAAAAAACAATAAATATTATGTATTATTTGTTATCATCATTATTTTATAAAGGGACAGGGCATAGATTTGGACAGAAATAGTAAGTTTTACAATAAGAAATGTTACCAGAATTGCATAACATTTCATGACGTTAGAAGGGTCAATTCAACAAGAAGACACAACAATACCAAATATTGCCCAACAATAGAGCTTTAAAATATACAAAGAAGAAATATACAACAGAAAAAAGAAATGGATATATCCCGTTATTGTTGGAGATTGTAGATTCTAACCCATTTTTTCCAGTAACTAATAGAATGAGATAAGAAACCAGCAAAAGGATAGAAGAAAAACAATACTCTTAATCAGATTTACCTGATTGACTTTTCTAAAACAGTCCACTAAACAGCAATATAAACGACATTGTTAGCAACTGCACATTTAAAACATTCACTAAAATTGATGATAATCTGGGCTATATAAACATGTCTCAGTACATTAAAAAGAATAGAAATCATACACAGTATGATCTCTAAGCACAACTAAATGAAACTAGAAATAAATAATTTCCAAATGTTCTGAAATGAAACAACACACTTCTAAAAATTCCTGAGTCAAGGAGGAAGTCACAGATGAACTTAGAAAGTATTTCAAAGAGAACGAAGATGAAAACAAAAACAGAATATATCACAATTTGTAGGATGCACTTAAAGTAGCCATTTGGGGAAATGTGATAGTATTACATGCTTATATTACAATGGGAAAAATTCTGAAACTTGTAAATTTCAAATCATTCATGATATGTCAAGTCTTCTCAACTTGTTTTTCTTAAGGACTGTTTTGGCCTTTATTGTGTAGTTTATAAGTTCCACAAAATATATTGGGAATTTATTGGAATTTTGTCAAACATATATAATTTTGTCAAACTCAAGCATAATATAAATATGTTTGAGAATTAACATTATTATAAAAGTGAGACATTTAGCCTATGAACGTAGTACATATCACCCCTCATTTTGATGTTATTATTGTACAAAAGTTTTATATTATTGTATATAAAGACTTCGTACACTATTTTTAAATTTATTCTTAAATTTTACACTTTTCATGAAATATGAAGTTAATCTTATAAATTATTATTTTTAACATTATTGCTGGTGTAAAGAAATACAATTCCTTTGGACAATGAATTTTGTATCTAGTAAACTCATTGAATTTGTTTATTAATTTAATTCATGTACAAATTTTTGGATTTTCTATTTAAATAATCATATTGAATGAAACTACTGCATTTTAATAGTTTCTCATTATTACATTTACATATTTACTCATCTTATTCCTAAACTCAAAGATAATATAGTTCACTCTTTAGTATAAGTACATTATACATTTAGTGTAGTACAGGTACATTATGAATTGTAATGTTTACTAAAGCTTTTCTGTAAAATCTTTCTCAGGCTAAGAACATTTTTTGTTTTTACTAGAATATAATATTAACAAAACATATTCTAGAAAAGCGTAAAATTTACCAAATATTTAGATTTTTAATTTAAGCATCATGGAGAGAAATGACGCTCTCATGGTTAAAATGCAGAGGCTGGAAGCACAGATGTTCTTAGAGCTGCTATATTGTTTGAATCAACAGTGACGTATATAAGCAAAATTCCACAAAACCACAGATTTAACTGCCATTATTATTCAGAAGTATCTGGTGTTACTTCTGGTGTAACAAATGGACTATTGTTAGGATAAAGAATATCCATATGAAAAAGTGCTTTACATAAAGTAGAAACTTAAATAGTAACATAATCTGGGTACAATACAACAATAATAATTAGTGCTTTGCTTTCCTGGAATACTATGTGCTAACCCTATTCTAAGGGATTTAGATAGAGATTTCACTGATTTCAAGAGAAACGTTTGTCTACTTGTTCAAATTTTAGTATCTGAAACTGCAATGTATCTTACATTAGATAAGCATAACTTAATTTCAGCATTATTTAATATTAGTGCATTAAAAAGTGTATGTCATTACCAATGGCATTTTAGATTTAGTGACATTTTGTATAATTTCATGAAACACTAGACACTATGGAATCAACTATAGTGTAAGGTCTACAAAAGCAGGAAATTCTATTTTAGTTACTCTTATAGGAGTCACTTGATAAATATATGTTGAATGAGTTGTCCAATGAAATAAATAAAGGCATAGCATTCTAGCATCATTCGGGGGGCAGTAGTTCATCCTGTGGCCTCATAACACTTGAGCAATGATGTGGTCATCACTTGGAAATGCTCAATTTAATCAGGTATGTTCATAATGAGGGCTTCTCATTTTTCTGTGAAAATACGAAAATATACTGTCTTTAGGGAGGAAGCAAACAATGTAATAAAATATAGAAAAATAGTTAAGTATGATTCATATTAAAAGCCCTGGAATTTATAAAAATAAGCTTTATTTGTTAGGGAAAAAATTACATTGTGTAACACTCTATTCCCCATGATTCCTAGTAAATAAGACAATAAACCCTTTAAGAAGAACTTTGTCAGAAACAAAGGATCACTATTTCCCGAAGAGCTGCAAAATACCGTAGGCCAGAATTAATACAGGTGATAACTGAGGTCATAAAAGCCATTTAGACAAGTTGAGTTGACAATGATCTAAGAAGGGCCAGGCCACTCTCCTGTGCCCCCTCCCTAAGCAGCTGCGCATTGCTTTGCTTTGACAACCTCCTTCCCATGCACCCCATCCCACACCCACAGCCCTGCTTGGAACTCTCCTAAGTTCCAGACTCACGTACTCAGCTGCCTCCTAGAGCCCTCTACCTGGAGACGTCCAGAACACTTTGAGTTCAGTACGCTCACAAGTGAAGTCATAAAGAGCCAAGAGTGCAGGATTGGGGTCAGGCAGCCCCACTTCTTAGTTATGCGTAGACTTCTTAGTTTACTTGACCCTCTTCATTTTCAGATTTCATTTCTGTAAAATAGCAATGGGCTTTGTAGAATTGCTTTTAGAGTATTGTAAGATAACTTAGGTAATACCTCTAACAAAGAGTCAAACAGATATTGGACATATAACCAATGTCTGGTACCGGCTTTCCCCTCCTTTCACAAGCTTAATGGCAATGCAGTTAAGTCAAGGACCTGGATCAGAATTACGGCATGAGGAACACACTCCATGTTTGTGCACAACCATTCCTGGATGACTTTTCAAGGGTCTTCTCTTTTCTTCCACCTGACAACAAGTTCTCCAACTTCCCTACTTGGAAGTGGCTGCCTGCCATGAGATAATCCCCTTTCTAATTTGTCCTCCCATGAACAATGCACCCAAGGAGTCCTTCCTCTTACTCCATGTCTCCTTGAGCCTGCAGAATGGAGCTCAAGTTTGTTAGAGCAGCCACGGTTCCCGCACCACCTCCCCTTCTGCCTTGCGGGCTGCCAAGCCTGCGTCCACCGTGCGCGTGAACTCCAGCATCAGGAAGTTTCATGCGTGTGCCCCGTGCTCCTATCTGGGCTCACGTGAACGTGCTCTTCTCTCTTTCTGAAATGCCCCTTTCCTTTGAGCGATTGTGGAAATCCTCCTCATCTTTTACAACTAGTCTCAGATGCGCCCTCCTTCCCGAAGCCTCCTCCGAATGGCCTGTCTACACATGGCCCAAACTTGGTTTCAGATCATTAAAATAGAAGGACAAAAATGAATGGTGTGCAGGGAACACACAGACAGCCTGTGGCATGGTTGGAAGCCGTGGTCTGATCTATGGCGAGCCCTGAGACCACGACTGTTCTTTGATTTTTGCTGCAGCCCTGAGAACCCTGTGGATCTGCTCAGGCATCTTGCTGCTCTTGCGATCGAGCCCTTTGTTTCTCTGCCTATCTTGTTTCCTGCTTTTCACTTTCTTGTTCTCACCTGGCTGATTTGTAAATAATAAAGTAACCGAAGTTAGACAATTCCAGCTACTTAAGATAACTGTGTTTCCAGGGAATCTGTTTCATGTGTAGAGAGGAAAAAATAAGTAGTCACAATCCTGGATTTTCTATGTGAATCAGTTTGCTTAGAGAGCAGCAGCTGTTAAAATATACATGATATTTGAGTTCAAACGGGAGCAGAAAGTATACTTAGTGTGGGCCAAAGAAAGGCATTTCAACGACAGGGCTCTTTCATCTGGAGTGGCGTGCCTAATTCTGATTTAGAGAAAAGCAGGTCTGATATTGTGCAGTGGAAAAGGAGTCCTGGGGCTGGGCATCAGAAAATCAGCTTTCAGACACTTCCTCCAGGTTGTAGCTGAGAAACTTGAGGCTCTTTAGTGAGATGAAAAAATAGTAGGCGTCTCATCCAGCACAGAACCATATTGTCACAGTGTACACACAGATGGCTGAAGGCAGAAAACACCACACCAGTTCAGTTCCCCCCAGTGAAACCTATCTTGCCTTGGTGGAAAGAAGTCACCAAATCTGAAGGTTTATCATGAACAGGCAAAAGAGTTTCACTTGTTTTCATGACTCAAAACATTTGGCTTAAACTGCATATCTCTCCATTTTAAATGTAAATTATAATAGGGAAACAGGAGGGAAATATGCAAGATTCTGGAAAACCTGAAGTTTCCATGTTTATCTTTTCTTTAGTTCCTTGCTCTTTAGAGTCAACCAACCCATTCCCTAGATATAGTTATAAAAAATGGCTGGGGTAAGAAAAACAAGTTCGGTGATATTTTTAAAACTGTATGCACAGTCACTTGGAGACCCTTGAATGATGTTAGGAGACTGAGCTTCCCATACTCACTGGGACACACACAGTTGCTCTTGTTTGTAAGAGAGGACGCTTCTGAAGTGTCATTTACTCTGTTGCTAGTATCAGCCTGCCTTCCCCTTGACCCCTGCCTTGTGGCCACCACTGTATCTCATGTCCACACCCTTCCTTGGCTGGGGCCCTGGAAGCCAGGGCATACTGAGTGGGACAGCTGGCAGGGGCTCGGGCTGGTGCGGTCACTGACAAAGAATCCTCCTCCGGCCTGTCAGTGGCAACTCTGCAGCTGTTGGCCCACATACCTGGCATACCTCCATCTCCAGGCAACTGCTGGGTGTGGGCAGGGATCCCAGCAGCACCCACTGGCGTCGGCTGCCTCCCACAATGCCAGCCCCCAGGTAGCCAAGAGGAGTGTCCAGGTGTCGGGGAGAGAAGCTGAGAGAAGCAGCGAGGGCCGTGGTTGTGGGAGAGAGGAGGAAGTTGGGAGGGTCACCCACACACTTACGGAAAGCTTGGTGCAAAGAGAAAGAGACCGCCTTTCAAAAACAGCCCTGCTCTACCATCCTGAACCTAGTCCTGATCATGCCTTGAAAAAATAGATTCCCAAGTGGGTCTTGCCTAAATAATGTAAGTGGACGTGGGAAAAGCACGGACTTGTCAGCAGTTTCAGAAGGTTCCTTGCTGCTGGTGACTTTGGAAAACTCCCTTAACCAGCGTGAGCCTCCATGTCTGCCTCCATATCCTCCTCCAGAGCAGGGGACTGTGTACCTTCCCCCAGGGAGGCCTGGAAGGATTTTGTTGGGTTTTCCTGATAAACTCACTCAGTGGATGAAAGGGGGGATGTTTGTAAAGTTGTCATATTTATGTTGAATGTAAGATCACTGAACTCTCACTGATATGCAGAAATCAACCTTAACGAGCGCTATCTGCAACACAAGAGATTTGTTTTCATGAGTACACACCTAGACGATGAACCTGTGCACACGACTTCATACTTTAAAAATGTCTCTTTTTTATCTTGCAGTTCTTTAAATACTAACAAGAATGGTTTTTAAAAGTGTTTTCAAATGTGAAAAAATACATATGACATAAAATTGATCATTAACCACTTAAGATGTGCGCAGGTCAGTGGCATCATGCACGTTGACAGTGCTGTGAAGCCATGACCACCATCCAGCCACAGAACCCTTTCATCTTGCAAAATTCAAACCCTGCACCCACTGAACAACAACCCCATTTCTCCTTCCCTCCAGCCCCTGGCAAGCACCATTCTATTTTCTCTTGCTATACATTTGACTATTCCAGGTACTTTATATTACTTTTAATGGCAAAAACCACAATAACTTCGCACCAACCTAAAATGAGTTGAATCATGTAGTATTTATTTGTTTGTTTGTTTGTTTATTTTTTTGACTGGCTCACTTCGCTTAGCATAATGTCCATTGTTTATTATCAGCAATTACATTTTAAAATTTCTAATCTTAGAAAAAGAGGCATACTGTTGTCAATGAGAGGTCAGCAGTTTCAGAATATATGAATAGAGGACAGACACAATAGACTTAAAAATTATTACCATTCGTTGTGCCAAGAAAACTTGCAAAAGTGTTCTTTCTCTGATGTAAGCATGCCAAAGGTCTGAATGTGTACACATGTATGTTACTTCCCCCACTCCTCTTTTCTTTCATTTTTATCTTTACTTTTTTCTAGGTAAGGACCGATTTTATTGTGGGGTGAAAAGTAACATAGAGCTGTACATTTTAAAGTGACTTGTATTCTCTATGTTAAGCTCAGTAAGTTGCCTCTGCTGCAGGTTGTAGGTATCTGTGTTTAGCCCTGCATTCTATCTGCTCATTTCCCCTGTCTTTAGCACAGCTTGCCTCTCCCCATCCGCACAACCCTGCCTAATTCTACTTGCTTTCTTTGACTCACTCATGAAGATTAAGTAGGTACTAAGTAAAATACAAGTATTTTACTTATATCTAAATCTCATGCCTTTTTAACAATATCAATATTACTTTTCTCACTTCAGAGATAAGGAAACTGAGGCTCGAAGATCTTATGTAACTGCCTATAGCCTAGCATCCATCTCAATGGGTGTCAAGAACTAGATCGAGTGTGTTTTGAGACAAATCCCAGAGGCTGCCCTGCACAGGATGTGGCAATCATCACTGCCTTAGTCATCTGACTTTTGCTTTTGGTTTGTGTGCTTGTTTGAGACAAGAGTCTTGCTCTGTCACCCAGGCTGGAGTGCAGTGGCACAATCACTGCCTCCTGCAACCCTTGCCTCCTTGGTTCAAGTGATTCTCCTCCCTCAGCCTCCCAAGTAGCTGGGATTATAAGTATATCCCACCACACCCAGCTAATTTGTGTGTGTGTGTGTGTGTGTGTGTGTGTGTGTGTGTGTTTAGTAGAGATGGGGTTTCACCATGTTGGCCATGCTGGTCTCGAACTCCTGACCTCAAGTTATCTGCCCACCTCGGCCTCCTAAAGTGTTGGGAATACAGGCATAAGCCACCATGCCCGGCCCTGACTTTTGCTTTCTATTGGGCTTACCTGTGTATTCTCACACTCTCGGGAGAACTCAACACTCCTGAAGAACACAGCCCATGACTCCTCATTTCTGTCTCCTGGCAAAGGCTAGCACAATATTTTGTGCAAAGGTTTTGCTTTCTTAATGATAAGTGAATGAAATATGGAAAAGTTTTAACATAAAAATATATTCAAGTTAGCATTTTGCCTGAAATTTATACTTAATTACAACTAGGAAATTAAGTGTACATGATCAACATATATGTATATATCATTTTCCTATTTGAG
The DNA here is from genome assembly GCF_000001405.40 of Homo sapiens. NCBI lineage: Eukaryota > Metazoa > Chordata > Mammalia > Primates > Hominidae > Homo > Homo sapiens. The sequence continues at coordinate 33,708 of NT_187520.1, forward strand.
TACTGACAAGATGGAGGAAAGGCAAGGAAAAGCTGGAGAATTTGAAATATGCATGAGGTCATTTCCGTTCCAGAAATAGGAGACATAAAGTAGAGGTCGAGATCATTGACAGTGGGCTTTCTCGAGTCGGGTAGAGAAGGGGTCAGTCCTTCTAGAGCTGGATCCAACCGTGTGTGGCTCTCTACCCAAGGGTATCCACCTGCTCTCCATTCCCTCATCTGTCCACTGGGGTGCACACAGCACCTCTCATGGGAATTAAAAACGGTGGTGCCTGAGCAGCTTTCAAGGAGCCAGTGGCACTCGCTGCTCAGTGCACATGAGCTAGAGAGGAGTGGAGGCCTCAGCACAGGGCCTGGTACTAACTCGAGAGATATTTGTTGTGCCCTATACCCAGCAGATACTGAGTACATGCTCAATGTTGTCATTATTTTGATAGATATTTTCTTAAATCTGGATTATCATCCTTCAGTTTGGATAAGACAGACAATATTGATGGGTTGGGGTACTTTGTCAAAGAATGTAAAGAAAGATAATGTGAAGAAAGGCAATTTTGTGATTAAAAAGGAAACTTTATTCTTAGATTTGTTAATAAGTGTCTCTTACTGAATTATTTGCTTATTAGGCAAAACAGTGATATCATTGAATCATTCTAAAATTCCTTCCCTTTTATGTCTTGAGGTTATGAACACATGTAAGGCACCTCACCTGGCATCTGACAAACTCAACGAGACAATGAATGAACCAGAATAAATAATCATCTATTTTTTTTTCCCCCTGAACATTTCTACAGTTGAGACAGTCTTAGAATTTCTCTCTTGCATGCCAGGATATTAGACTGTTGAAATTGAATTCTTTTTTTTTTTTTTTTTTTTTTTTGAGACGGAGTCTCGCTCTGTCCCCCAGGCTAGAGTGCAGTGGTGCGATCTCGGCTCACTGCAACCTCCGCCTCCAAGGTTCACGCCATTCTCCTGCCTCAGCTTCCCGAGTAACTGGGACTACAGGCACCCGCCACGACACCTAACTAATTTTTTTGTATTTTTTAGTAGAGACGGGGTTTCACCGTGTTAGCCACGATGGTCTTGATCTCCTGACCTCGTGATCCGCCTGCCTCGGCCTCCCAAAGTGCTGGAATTACAGGTGTCAACCACCGCGCCCGGCTGAAATTGAATTTCTTTCTTTTCACCAACTCGAATTTCTTCTTCTCATGTAAGGTCATCTTACATAAGTGAGACTCCTTTGTTCCCTTTCCCTTAATAACAAGCCTACACGGATGTGAAGGTGGTGAACGCACCTCTTCTCATCTCAAAACATCCACGTGCTCTTCCATTTTTTTCTAACAAAGAAGGGAGAGGAGGTGACATGAAAACACACCATGGATATTGTTCAGCATTTGTAAAAGCTGAAAGTATCACTTGGTAGACAAACTGCTTTTTGCACTACAACCTCCAGAAGAAAGCGCGAACGCAATTCCCCACCACCACAAATTACAGTCCAGTTTCCCCACATGTGGAAGTAACAGGAGTCAGTCAGCACATACTGAGTACAATGGAGAAATCGCCCCCGAGAAACACCAACTTCATGGCCGTATTTTCTCCTGTTACGTAAGTATGAATGAACGCCCCTCCGCCCTGCCACAGCTCCATACGCCTCACCCCTTACACGCATGGTCACTTGGCCCGCGCATTCCCCCACCCCGCCCCCATGCCGCCTCAAGTCTTCCTAGCCCTGACACACAGCTGGGACTATCACGTCCAACCGGAGGTCCTGGACTAGCTCCCACAGCACGAGAAATCTTTCGTGGTGAAGCAGCAGCCCCTGAGCTGCCTCCTCTGCATAGGAATCGCCCTATCTGTGATGTCACCGACAGCGCCTTTCCCGTCCCCGTCTGCTCTTCCGCCCCACCCTCTGCCACTCGGCCGACCAACCAGCTGTGGGAGCGGGCGGAGGAAGTGACACCTGACTCTACCTCCTTTCCCTCCCATCCCCGTCCCTGGTCTCTCCCAAAGAAGTAGGTTCTTAGCCTGTGATGCAAAGGACCCCTTTGGCGGCCAGCTGGAGCCTGTGCGCTTTTCTTCAAATAATGGCTTTTAAAGCTCAGACTAGAAAGTTTAGGATTACAAAGAAAAACGGTTCTTTTCACATACGGTTATCCTTGTGATGTAGCATTTCGCTTGACATTTGGAAGTCGTTCAATATCAGAGAGAAACCGTATCTATGAAACTAGAGAGGCTGCTCAGATGACTGCAAACCAGCCATCCTTACTTGTTTTATCACTAGGAGTATTATAAAGACGGTCGTCCAGTTTCATGAATCTTGTAGGGTTTTTTTCAGATACAGCAATGTACAAAAATGTGCTGCCCCAGCAGAGCACACTGGACATTCAGGCATGGTGCTGGAGTTTGTCATCTCTTCACTGCCTTCTCTAGACCTTAGCGCTTACCTCATGTTAACACTTTATATGCTGCGAAGACAGAAACACAGTCATCCAAATTTGGCAAAAATATTTGGGAGAAGTTTTATTTCAGGTGTTTAACTGATTACTTTTAATATGTAGACTACAACACCAAACTCTGAGAATACTCCACAGACTTATTAATGGTTTCCACCCCCGTCTCTGCAAATCTATCAGGCAAGTTTTTCCTGCCCTTTACTTTCATATAAGCTGAGTCACAGTCTGTAGTGGGTTTTGGGGGGAGTGTTACTGCCCAACAGGTACACCCTGCCTGCTGCCTAGACAGAGCCAATTTTTCGACACAGGGGAATTGCAATAAAGAGCTGCACTCTTTATTTGGTGATTGGGGGCCGGTGAATTGAGAGTTCTGCTTGGCCAGGTCGGAGATGAAATCACAGGGAGCTGAAGCTGTGGTCTTGTGCTGGGTCAGTTCCTGCTTGGGGGCCACAAGACCAGCTGAGCCAGGTTATCAGTCTAGCTGGTGCCAGCTGATCCACTGAGTGCAGGGTCGGCAAAATATCTCAAGCACTGATCTTAGGTTTTCCAATAACGATGTGATCTCCAGGAACAATTTGGGGAGGTTTAGAATCTTGCAGCCAGAGGCTACATGACTCCTAAACCATAATTTCTAATCTCGTGGCTAATTTGTTAGTCCGGCAAAGGCAGTCTAGTCCCCAGGCAGGAAAGGGGTTTGCTTTGGGAAAGGGATATTATCATCTTTGTTTCACAGCTAAACCATAAACTAATTTCCTCCCAAAGTTATTTCGGCCTGTGCCCAGCAATCAACAAGGACAGCTTGTACGTTAGAAGCAAGATGGAATCAGTTAGATCAGATCTCTTTCACTGTGGTAATTGTCCCAGTTGTAATTTTTGCAAAGGCGGTTGCAGAAGCAGAGGCATAGGTCTGACTTCTTTCACTCAGTCCTATGTCTATGAATTTTTCATGTTATTCATATGGTTATTTGGTTCTACGTGTATTCCTTTGTAGGAATATACATTAACTTATGTATTTCTTCTACTGTTGTTGAACATGTTGACCTAAAAGAAGGAGGCTGAAGCACAAAATATAATTTAGAGTTTACTTGAGTCAACATGAAGACAACTGCCTGGAAGACTCACACCAAGGAAGCTTGGATCTGAGCTCCCTTTGGCCTTTGTCACAAGCAGGTTTTTATTTTTTATTTTTTATTTATTTATTTATTTTGAGACGGAGTCTCACTCTGTCGCCCAGGCTGGAGTGCAGTGGCGCGAACTCTGCTCCGCCTCCCGGGTTCTCGCCATTCTCCTGCCTCAGCCTCCCTAGTAGCTGGGATTACAGGCACCCGCCACCACGCCCAGCTAATTTTTTTGTATTTTTTTAATAGAGACGGGGTTTCACCGTGTTAGCCAGGATGGTCTGGATCTTCTGACCTCATGATCCGCCTGCCTCGGCCTCCCAAAGTGCTGGGATTACAGGCGTGAGCCACCGCACCCTGCCCACAAGCAGGTTTTTAAAGTTCAAAAGCAGGGACAGACAGTGGGCTGATAGGTGCCTATCAGGAATTCTCATTGGTTTACAGAAATAACATTGCTTGGTGATTGGCTATATGTTGTTAAGTTATAGGGTATGGGGGTATAGGGATTGGTGTGGCATTATTAGGTTAATTTACAGCTACTTAAGGCAATAGCAAGCAGTTTCAACGGATGAATACATAGCTCAGCGCAGCTCAAAAGGAAGGAGCGGAAAGTGGTTGCTGTCTCGATTTAACGTCTCTCTGGGCCTGATCATTTGAAAGGGCTCACATTCCTCAGATAAAAAGTTTTTTTAATCTTTCTTCTTGAAAGCATCGATGATCAAAAGCTAAGTCAAGGGTGTCCTTCTTTGCCAGAAAGGCTCATTCCCGGATAGTCCTGTCCCAAGCAGGGGACAGGGGAGGAAAGAAGCCACCTCACTGAGGAATTTTTAAGAATGCCCAAAAGTCCAATTGAAAGGGCATTACAGCCAGGCATGGTGGCTCACACCTGTAGTCCCAGCACTTCAGGAGGCCAAGATAGGTGGATTGCCTGAGTCCAGGAGTTCAAAACCAGCCTGGGCAACATGGTGAAACCCCATCTCTACAAAAAATACAAAGTTAGCCAGGTGTAGTGGCACACACCTTAGTCCCAGCTATTCAGGAGGCTGAGGTAGGAGGACTGCTTGAGCCTGGGAGTTTGAGGCTGCACTGAGCTAATATCACACCACTGCACTCCAGCCTGGGTGACAGAGTGAGACTCGGTCTTAAAAAAAAAAAGGGCATCATAGAGTGGCAAAAAAAAAAAAAAAAAGAGAGAGAGAGAGAGGGGCCTCAGTTAAGTCTACAGCTGCTGTCACTTATTGAATCATCTCTACTCTTCAGAATACCATGAAATTAGTTTTCCCAGAAGTAAAACGATGAGAGATACATAACAATAATGACATTGCACTTCATCATTCCATGCCCTTCGACATTTATAGGGCCATGGATGGTGATCTTTTCAAGAGACAAAAATAAACGCCAAACAGGTAGGTGCGCTATAACTTGAGTACATCAGCTTTTGGGCATTTAAACCATGGGTCAGAAATTTAGAGCAAGAGGGCAGGTTGGATCTTGATAGCAGGAGGGAGTGTTTTTCTTTTAACTTTCCAGTGGCATCATGGTGTTAACCACTGTTATTTCAGAGTGAAGAAACAATTTTTTGTTTGGTTGGTTTTGTACTTTTTATTTTTATTATAATTACTTTTTAAGACAAGGACTCTGTCTCCCAGGCTGGAATTCAGTGACAAGATCACAGCTCAGTACAGCCTTGACCTCTTGACCTCCAAGGCTCAATGGCTCATCCTCCCAAGCAGCTGGGACTACAGGCACACACCACCACACGCAGCTTATTTATTTATTTTTTGAGACAGGGTCTCATTCTGTTGCCCAGGCTGGAGTGCAGTGGCGTCATCAGGGTTTGCTGCAGGTTTGAACTCCTTAGCTCAAGTCATCCTCTCACCTCATGCTCCTGAGTAGCTGGGACTACAGGTGGGCACCACCACACCCAGCTAATTTGTATATATTTTATAGAGCCAGTGTTTCACCATTTTGCCCAGGCTAGTCTCAAACCCCTGTGCTCAAGTGATCCTTCTGCCTTGGCCTCCCAAAGTGCTGGGATTACAGGCAATTATTTTGACAATACGATTACGATGGGTTAAACTGAGACTTGCAGCAGGAAGGTTAGGGTGAGTCAGACAGATTAGATAAACAGGTTTTGCTTGATATGACCCTGAGTTGCATCGTGAGTGCAATCAGGAGGAATACAGGTGAAATTTAGCACAGGATGTACCAATGGGTCATTATGGTCAAAAGTGGTTTGTGGTTTTGAGTGGCAAACCTGGAACCTTGTCAAATTTCCCACAGAGGTAATGGTTTGTGAGATTCTAATCAGAGAATTATCCCTCCCTGCTGTAATCAAATTAATTAGGGACAGTAAAACAGAAATCTGATCACAGGTATTCTGCTATGTATGTATGTATGTATATGTATATACACATACACGCAAGAGGAGTAGTGTGTCATATCTTAAGAGAATATGCATATAGGGTGATTTTACCAAAACCACCAAGAGACAACCCCTACAACTTAAAGGAGCCCTAATGGTGTATGTATTCCAGTCCGCAAAAAAGAGACTAACTCTCTCAGGCACGGTCAGCACTGGAATTGTAACTGATTATACAGGCCAGTATCTTGGGTGAAAGCGGACTACACCAGATGTCAGCTACTTGCCATCTCTGTCAGGAAGATTGTGAGTTACCTCTAAGTGAAAATCTCCACTGATAGATGTCCACTCTGGTAGGGTTGCCTTTTACAAGAGAAACATGAATCCATGTGTCAACGCCCTTATGTTTACTGGCACAGATTGGTCAGTAATACCTGTTGTCAGTTAGGTGCAGTGGCCTATGCCTGTGGTCCCAAATATTTGGAAGGTTGAGGCAGAAGGGTGGCTTGAGCCCAGGGGTTCAAGGCTACAGTGAGTCATGATTGTGCCACTGCATTCTGGCTTGGGGAATAAAATGAGATCCCATCTCAAAAAAATATATAAAGTAATAATAATAGCTGATGTGGTCCCTTCCAACAGTCTTGGGGAGAATATTTTATTTGATGTTGTTTCCAGTAAACAACAACATCTCCAGGTTATAGGCCAAGATTTTTGATATTTTCATCTCCCAGGAGTTCATTATGAATGGAATTCTTTGTTAATGTAGAGTTCTTAGTAAGTTCTGTGAGATCTTAGCAGTAATGGAGAATGTCACCTTTAAGAAGTGCAGATTCATAAGCGCCTTCATCTAACCACTGCAAGGGTCTTCCTGTTATTATTTCAAAGAGGGAGAGTGTGGACGTTTTCCACAACCAGTGGGAGATCCTTGTCCAAGAAAGGTTAAAAACTTCTGTTAGCTTTGCCAATTGAGTTTTTATTGTATCATTAGTGCATTCCATCGGCCCAGAGGATTAGGGGTGACAGGCACAATGGAAATGTTGAGACTTAGGCAAAAATGTTACAAATGGATCAAATTACCTGACCAATGAAGTGTGTTCCTCGGTTTCTATGGAGTTCAGATGGCACCCCCCATGAGGAATTACCTTTTCTAATCACAATCTACCTACTACTTGGGCTGTGGCTCATCGGCATGGAAATGCTCACCCCAGTGAGCATATACAAATTAGCACCAGAAAGTATCTGTGACCCTGAGATGGAGACAGCTGGATAAAGTCTAACTGCCGTGTCTCGAAGGGTCCCAAAGGCAAAATGTCCCTGTGACCCATGAAGGGGTTTTCCAGGATTATGTTTGGGACAGACAGTATGGCAAGACTAAACATTTTCTGCAATCATAGGCAATGATTTTCAATACCATTGCTTTCCCCATGCCAACATTTTGTCTGAATTCCAATGAGTCAGCTTATGAAGTACTGTAAAAGGGTAATTGAAGCCTAAGGGATAGATCAGTGAGTGTATCATTGGGCCCATACCATATGACTGTTTCTGGAAGAAATTTGTTCCCTTTATCCTTCCAGAGATCCCTCTCCTGCTTGGGAGCTCCCACTTATGCTTCTTTTTTTTTTTTTGCCAGAGTCTTGCTCTGTCACCCAGGCTGGAGTGCAGTGGTGCAATCTCACCTCACTGCAACCTCCGCCTCCCAGGTTCAAGCAATTCTCATGCCTCTGCCTCCCAAGTAGCAGGGATTATAGACATGTGTCACCACACCAGCTAATTTTTGTATTTTTAATAGAGACAGGATTTCACCATGTTGGCCAGGCTGGGCTCAAACTCCTGACCTCAGGTGATCCGCCAGCCTTGGCCTCCCAAAGTGCTGGGATTACAGGCATGAGCCACCATGCCCAGCCCACTTGTACTTCTAATGAAGTCTTCAATGGGTCATAAGTCAGCAAGGTCATTTCGAGGAGTTCTGTGTCTGATGTCACCTTCAGAGCTGCATTCTTAGCTGCAGCATCAGCAAAATGATTGTCCTTGCTCTCCAGAATGTCTAATTTTGAATGAACACGAATTTTGATGATGGCCAAAATTTGGGTCTTCAAATTGCTTCTAAGAGGTCAGAGATTTATTGGTCATTTTTGATGGCTTGACCTGATGAAATCAGATACCTATGTTGCTTCTAAAGCATTCCAAAATCATCACCTACTCCAAATGCATCTCTGCTCCCAGTGTAAATGTTAGGCTGAGGGGAAGGATTGATTGAGCCCAGAAGTTCATTCAGGTCCAGCCTGGAAAACACAGCAAGATGTCCTCTCTACAAAAAAAAAAAATCAAAGAATTAGCTGGGCATTGTGGCATGCACCTGTGGTCCCAGCTACTCGGGAGGCTAAGGTGGGAGGATTGCTAGAGCTGAGAGGTTGAGGATGTGGTGGGCCATGATGGAGCCACTGCACTCCAGCCTGGGTGACAAAGTGAGGCCCTGTCTCAATCAATCAATCAATAAATCTTAACCACTTAAAATACCAATGACAGATTTGCTTGGCCTTTTAAGTGCATTGCTGAATTCTCCAATCTACATTTTTGGGAACAACCTGGGGAATGGCAACATGGAAGTATTTGGCCAAAATGCAGACCCTTTCATTGTCTGCTTTAGTCTGTTTTTAAAAATCCTCTAAAGAATTATTCCAATTCGCCCTTTTCAACCATTTAGTGGCCCTGCCTTCTTACACCACATGTGAATTAATTGATAAAAATCAGAATATTCGGGCTAAAAGTTTGGACAATTAAGTCAAATTTTCTCCCAAACCCTATAGGATCTTGGAGGCTGCTTTAGAATTAGAAGGGGAAATTGATTTAAATTTCGATCAGGGAAGTCTTTTTTATTTTTTATTTATTTATTTATGTATTTTGATACAAAGTCTTGCTCTGTCACCCAGGCTGGAGTGCAATGGTGCAATCTTGGCTCACTGCAAACTCCACTTCCCGAGTTAAAGCGATTCTCCTGCATCAGCCTCCCGAGTTGCTGGGATTGCAGTCATGTATCACCATGACCGGCTAATTTTTGTATTTTTAGTATAGACCGGGTTTCACCATGTTGTCCAGGCTGGTCTCGAACTCCCGACCTCGTGATCCACCTGTCTAGTCCTCCCAATGTGCTGGGATTACAGGCATGAGCCACTGCGCCCGGCCCAGGGAAGTCTTTTATAATATTCTTAATTCACATTTTGGTGAAGCAGTATACAGAATGGTAGGCTCCCTTCTTCCTGTGGAAGCCCCTACCTTGAAAGGGGCTGTCAGAACAGAAGTTTCAGGGGAGGGGCCAGAGCCCTGGGGACTTTCCTCAGGTGATGGTGATGGAAGAAGAGGCAAGGCAGAACCGGAGGGCTCAGGTAAGGGAGACTATGCAGGTGCAGGGGCAGGAGGAGAAGGAGCAGTTGGAGGCGAAAGAGACAAAGCCTCCTCAATATTTCTCAATTCAGAAAACGTGTCAGTTTACCTCCTTCAGCTTACTTCCTCACTGGAGGCAATTTTCACAGTTCTTTTAGAAATTTCTAGGTATTATTGGAAGTAAGTCTCCCATTTAATTTGGTTCTAAAACCAAATTTTTCCAATTGTGCACACTAATAAATTATTTTAAGCATTTCAAAATATCCCCATTTTCTTCATTCTGCTTATCAGTTTTCCTGGTTAGGTGGATCCAGTTTCTTGGATATTTACAAGAGGACGCTTCATAAGTGCTATACATAAACCCAGCTGATGTTTCTAAAGGTGGTTGTTTCTTCGCAGTGTGCTAAATTTTGAAGCTTGATTTCCCATAATTCAGGAGCTTTTCAGATGACCAAGGCCTGTGATGTGTTTTGGGTCACAGTGTGGTGCTTATGAAGTCACTCCTACAGATAACACCGGAGTTGTGTATCGCTGTCTCAGTGGTTCCCACTGTTTCTAACCACCAGGTGGCCACAGAGTGCATGTGCTATGAGGGACCCGTCCGACATATACCCTCCCAGAAGAGCAGGAAAGGGGGTTCATAAAGATGTTCTTCTGATGGGGAGTGTCCTATGAGGCCACCTTCACATGGTGAGTAATGACCCCGACACCTCTGCAACATCCCCGATCACTTGGAGCACCTGAATGGATTGGCGGAAGCAGATCACTTCTTTTCTTCAGGGCAGGGGAATGCACCTCCATGCGCTTTCCAGTTAAGAACTAACAGGAATTAGTCACAAATGAAAAGCTAAGCCCGAATGTTCAAAACAACATGCTACATAAAATGACACCACCAGGGCCTACCTGCCAATACCTTGACCCAGAACTTCCTGCTGAGGAACAGAGGCAGGAAAGGCAGAAGCTCTCTGGAGAGCTCTTTGCCTGACTGTGACCCAAACTTTCTGTCCTGATGCAGAGGTGGAAAAGGCAGTTATTTCCCCCGAGACTCAAACCTCTTACCCACAGGGTAAAGACAGAAAACCTCCATTCTAGAAAGGGAGAGCTGGAAAGGACACTCAAGCAAAGTCCAGGCCTTCAACCAAAGAGTGGGAAGGTCCAGATTTCAGGAGGATTCCCCACTTACTACTGCCCAACTCTTTCTCTCAGAGTCCAAACTTGAGGGCTTCAGAGCTGGCCAGGCACCCAGTCCAGGAGGAATGTGGTGTGATCTGAGAGATGAAAATACATGCCCCCTTATAGACTAAGACAGACTGTAAGTTTAAGGAAACAAAAGTTAGCTACAGGTCCAGGGTTCAGGGCTCATCTGGCATGGCAACGTCCTGAATTCCTATGGCTACAGAAAAAAACACACTGTTGCTAAACTCCTTAACAATAGGGGCTAGCAAGCAAATTGTCAAAATCTTCCCAGCCCTTCTCAACTGGATTTACAACCCAGATCACTAGAGCTCTGATGGGACAAAGGAGTGGCCTTCCATTCTTTCCCGATAAGCAACTGCAGATATCAAGCCAGTTTCAGCCATGTTACAGGGACTGCACACAAACCGACTTCGTGTCCAGTAGTTCACCTTTTGACATAAACAGCCAATTTCCACCTCATTTTAATGCTAAAATCCCTTCCCAATGTGAATATGGGGTGCATGTTACATATATGTTTACCCGTTGCACATGAGCTCAATACCCCTCAGAAATGGCGTTTCCCCAAACCTGCTGAATATGTATGACTCTATTGTGTGATACACACCCTGTGAGGCACAAAAACCAACCTGCCCTCTCTCTCTCTCTCTCTCTGAAGAAAAAGCACTTCTTCAAAGACACACACCAGAGACTGTCTCTTCCCGGACTGCAAACTGATCTCACCAATCAAATTCTACCTACTATGTAGCCACCCTGGAGGCCTTTGAGAGGACGGTCAGATGGTCAGAGATAAGTTGCTCTGAATCCTGCTCCCAGGGCCAAAAACATCGACCTAGAAGGAAGGGGCTTAAGCACAAAATATGATTTAAAGAGTTTGTTTGAGCCAGTGTGAGGATAGTTGCCCAGAAGGCTCAGAGCCAAGCAATCTTGCATATGGGTTCTGTTTGGCCTTTGTTACAAGCAGGTTTGTAAAGACCAAAAAGGGAGACAGGGAGTTGGCTGGTAGAAAGTTGCTTGTCAGGAACTCCCAGTGGTTTACAGAAATAACATTGATTAGGGATTAGCTATACATTGTTCAGCTACAGGGAATGAGAGATGGTGTCCAGTGCATGTGATTAGGTTACTTTATAGCTAACTGTGGCAATAGCAAGCAGTTTCAGTGGATGAATACATAGCTCAAAAGTGGGGAAGTGGCCGGTGGTGGTCATAATTCACATTTTGGTGGGCCAAGTTGGGCAGATCACCTTAGGTTAGGAGTTTGAGACCAGCCTGGCCAACATGACGAAACCCTGTCTCTACTAAAAATACAAAAAAAAAAAAAAAAAAAAAAATAGGGGAGCATCGTGGTTCGCGACTTCAGTCCCAGCAACTCGGGAGGCTGTGGCAGGAGAATTGCTTGAACCTGACTGGAGGAGGTTGCAGTGGGCCAAGATCCTGCCACTGCACTCCAGCCTGGGCAACAGAGTGAGACTCCATTTCAATACAATAAAAAAAAAATTTTTTTTAACTTAAAAGATTTTAGAAAGCAGGAAGTAGGATGTGGTTGCTGTCTCATTTTAATGCCTAGCTCTGGGCATGCTAAGTTGAAAGCACTCATTTTCTTCACATGAAAAAGTTCTTCTCTTTTCTTTCTTTTTTTTTTTTTTTTTAGAGACACACTCTCACTTACTGTGCCACCCATAAAGTGAAGTGGCATCATCTCTGCTCACTGCAACCTCCACCTCCAGGGATCAAGTGATTCTCAAGCCTCAGCCTCCCAAGTAGCTGGGATTACAGGTGCCAGCCACCATGCCTGGCTTATTTTTGTATTTTAGTAGAGATGGGGTTTCACCATGTTGGCCAGGCTGGTCTCGAACTCCTGACCTCAGATGATCCACCTGCCTCGGCCTCCCAAAGTGCTACGATTACAGGCGTGAGCCACCATGCCCAGCCAATACCATTAATTTAATCTACAGCTAAATCTATTATTTTTTCATGTTACAAATTCAACAAGAAAATTTTTCCCTAATGAAACATCACATTTAAAGCATAAGTAGAATTAAAAAATGTAATAGACAGTGTCTTGCTGTGTCATCCAGGTGAGAGTGCACTGGTGCAACCACAGCTGACCAACCTGGAACTCTGGGCTCAGGCAGTCCTCCCAGCTCAGCCCGCCTTTTAACTTCTTAGAGATGGCATCTTGCCCTGTTGCCCAGGCTGGCCTCCAACTCCTTGCCTAAAGCAATCCTCCCACATCAGCCTCCTGATTTTCTGGGATTACAGGTGTGAGTCAACCAGCCTGGCATTGCAGGGAAAAAAAAAAGTCAAGAAATTATTCTTCATTTTCTTTTATTTTGAGTTGAGGTCTTACTCTGTCACCCAGGCTGGAGTGCAGTGGTACAATTATAGTTCACTGCAGCCTGGATCTCCTGGGCTCAAGTGATCCTCCTGCCTCAGCCTCCCAAGCAGCTGGGACTACCAATGTGAGCCACTGTGCTGGCTAGTTTTTTAAAATCAGCTCATTTTTAAATTTGTAGAGACAGGGGTCTCACCATATTTCCCAGGCTGGTATCAAACTCCTGACTTCAATCCTTCTTCTCTCCTCAGCTGCCTAAAATGCTAAGATTACAGGTGTGAGCCACCACACCCTGCTTAATTTCCATATTTTAATTTTATATACGTAATTATTACTGTCCTTAAGATAATTGGGGCAGTAATCTCTTTAAAGTTTTAGAGACTTAATTTATCTATTCACTCCACTGGAAGAGTATGCCAATTGGTTTCATAAGAAAATATATTTATAAATCAGAAAATTTCTTTCCACCAATCTAGGGGGCATTCGAAAGCAAATAATTGTGTTAAGTAACATCGTTTAAAGTGAAAACAGATGCAATGGTATTTATTAACAAGGCTTATCAGTGAGCGAAACAAACTGAAAAAAGGAACATCATTAGATCCTTGGAAAACCCTCAGTGCTGAAAATCTGAGTGATTCTGTGATACCCTTTTGAGTCTGGCAGGGCATTCTCTTTCCCGAGCGTATAAAAGTGAGTAAATCATTTCTTTTCATCCATTTTCATTAAGAGCTGAACTTCCTTGATGTTCTGGAGATTATTAAATTTGATTTGTGGCCAGGCGCAGTGGCTTACGCCTGTAATCCTAGCACTTTGGGAGGCCAAGGTGGGCAGATCACTTGAGTTCAGGAGTTCGAGGCCAGCCTGGCCAACATGGCCAAACCCCATCTCTACTAAAAATACAAAAATTAGCCAGGCATGGTGTCACACGCCTGTAATCCCAGCTACTCAGGAGGCTGACGCACAAGAATCACTTGAACCCGGGAGGCCAAGGCTGCAGTGAGCCAAGATTGTGCCACTGCATTCCAGCCTTGGTGACAGAGCGCGACTCTGTCTTAAGCAAAAAAAATTTTTGATTTGTATAGTTGTGAGAAGTGCTTATGTTGCTGACTCCATTGCTTATCTGTGATCATATAAATCTCTTTTCCCCTTTCTGTAGTGTGATTTAAACTTAATCCTTAAAGGACATGTGTTTCAGCTGGTTAGAGGTTTTTAGCTACTAGAAACCTGAGTATACGAATCAAAGAAAACTGCTCCTTACCTGCCACAGACTTAGTTTTCTTTATGTACTAAGATTTCTTTCAGGTATAGTAATTTGTTAAAGCCAAGAGCTCCTATGGAATGAAGTTAGGTGGCGGGAGTGGGTGGGGCATTGAGTAGTAAGATCGTCCTTATAATAGAGATGCCGCTCTTGCAGATATTGACAGCTATCGGGCCCAAAAAATTGTTACCAAACATTGGAAAGACAAGATATGAGCAACTTCTGATTGCTGCAGTCTCAAATATCAAGAAATACCATTATCCTCAGGACAATGAATAGACAATCAAAAAAGACTCACAGACTAGATTAGCTGTCATGTATCACCAAACACCTTGTCAAACACCACCCAACAGAGATTGTCCCCAGAACTTCACTTCATAACATCAAAACCAGAAACCCACACTGATGCCACTGATGGCAGAAAACAATGATGCAAGAAAGAGAGAGAGGGAGATAGAGAAAGGAAGGACTTGCCCAATGACCATACTTAGTATATAAAAGCAAAACAGCTCAATTTCTGCTCATGAGAACAAGAACTGAGGGAACAAGAACCAGTGGCTCTAAGGATCCAGGTCTGCACCAGGGGCCTGTTAGGTGCAGGATTCTGTTGGCTCCAATGATGGGTGTCAGATGGATTAATTTTTATGGACATAGCCTCTGAAAGAAATCAGTCGAGGAATAATACAGAGACACTTGTCTGCATGCTCATTCTCCATCAATATAGAAGAGGAACTGGCATTAGATTGTGTTCATCAAATAAAAGTAAAATCAACATTTATAAAGAAAAGAGGAAAGGGGAGGAGAAAAAAATGACTGGGACCATTGTGATTTTGCTCCCTTTGGATAAGCAACTTGGCAGAAAGCTATCAAAGAGGTCACTATGACCTGTCTTCTCCGGACCAGTGTGACTTGGTCACCACAGCAAACAATTACAGGCTGGGCACAGTGGCTCATGCCTGTAATATCGACACTTTGGGAGGCGGAGTGGGCGGATCACTTGAGCTCGCAAGTTGGAGAGTAGCCTGGGCAACATGATGTAACTCTGTCTGTACAAAAAATACAAAATTTAGCCAGGAATGGTGGTGTATGCTAGTAGTCCCAGCTACTCAGGAGGCTGAGGTGGGAGGATCACCTGAGCCTGGGAAGGTTCAGGCTGCAGTGAACCATGATTACACCACTGCACTCCAGCCTGGATGACAGAGTAAGACCATGTCTCTAAAATAAATTAAGTTTGAAAAAGAAACAGGGCCAGGCACGGTGGCTCACACATATAATCCCAGCACTCTGGGAGGCCAAGATGGGAGTATCACTTGAGCTCAGGAGTTCGAGACCAGCCTGGGCAACATAGTGAGACCTCATCTCTAAAGAATACATATATATTTTTAAATAAACATATATAATAAAATATATACTATATTTTATTATACATAATATATAATTGTATATATTTATTATCATATAATTTTAATAAAATATGTATATATTTTATTATGTATAATAAAATAAAAAGAAACAATTACAGATGTTGGAGGACTTTAAAATATCTCGGCCAGGTGCAGTGGTTCAGGCTGGTAATCCCGGCACTTTGGGAGACTGAGGCAGGAGGATCACTTGAGCCCAGGAGGCTGAGGCTTACAGTGAACTATGATCATGCCACTGCACTGCAACCTGGGTAACAGAGTAAGACTCTATCTCAAAAAATAAAATAACATGTCTTAGAAGTTTAGCTGTCCATCCTATGCAACTGAATATCCGTGTGTAATGTCCACCATGTCCTTCTGTTTTACCTCCCCCTTACTTAAACCGGAAAGGCACTTGTCCCCATATTAGAATATCATTGGCACATGGCCGGGCATGGTGGCTCATGACTGTAATACCAGCACGTTGGGAGGCTGTTCAGGAGTTTGAGACCAGCCTGGCCAACAAGATGAAACCTTGTCTCTACTAAAAATACAAAAATTAGCCGGGCGTGGTGGTGCAGGCTTGTAAGCTGAGATCACTCCACTGCACTCCAGCCTGGGCGACAGAGCAAGATTGTGTCTCAAAAAAAAAAAAAAAAAAAAGGAAAGAAAAGAATATCATGGGCACATGTATAGAAAGTTTGTTAGGCCAGGTGCAGTGGTTCACACCTGAAATCCCAGCACTTTGGGAGGCCAAGGCAGGCAAATCTCTTGAGCCCAGAAGTTGGAGCTCCTGGGGGCAACCTGGGCAACAGAGCAAGACCCCATCTCTAAAAAAAAAGTTGGATTTGATGGTGCACACCTGTGGTTCCAGCTCTTCCGGAGGATCACTAGTGCCAGAGTGGCAGGGGCGGTGAGTTTGCAGTGAGCTGAGATCACGCCACTGCACTCCATCTTGGGTGACAGAGTGACACCTAGTCTCAAAACAAAAAGTAGGGGAGGGGAGAAAATTTGTTGTGTCAGCAAGTAAATGAAGAAAGAGACATTATTAGAGTTGAGAAATAAACTGGAATGTGATTTGGTACCTTTCCCACAGAAGATAAGTTTGCTAAATGTGCTGAAATTAGAAGCATTGTATAAGGCCCGGTGCAGTGGCTCATGCCTGTAATCCTAGCACTTTGGGAGACCTCGGAGGTGCCCGAGCCCAGGAGTTTGGGGACCACCATGGGCAACATAATGAAACCCTTTCTCTACAAAAAATACAAAAGTTAGCTAGGCCTTTCGGATGCGACAACTAATTGTGCCACAGAGACACAACCCGAGTGGCTTAGGACTCTGGGAAGATATAATCTCCCCCGTTTATCTAGTGATCGATAATGCATGAACGCTTTAAAAGCTGGAACAGGCGGCCGGGCGCGGTGGCTCACACCTGTAATCCCAGCACTTCGGGAGGCCGAGGCGGACGGACCACGAGGTCAGCTGATCCAGACCTTCCTGGTCAACAAGGTGAAACCTCTGTTTCTACTAAAACACAAAACATTAGCTGGGCGGGGTGGCGCGCGCCTGTATTCCCAGCTACTCCAGAGGCTGAGGCAGGGGAATCCCTTGAACCCGGGAGGCCGAGGTTGCAGTGAGCCAAGATCGCTCCACTGCACTCCAGCCTGGCGAAAGAGCAAGACTGTGTCTCAGGGAAGAAGAAAAACAAAACAAAACAAAACAAAACAAAACACCTGGAGCAGGCGTCCCTCAGTGGGCTCTAACCACCAAACTTTAGATTAACAGCCAAACGCGCTAACCGATTGTGCCACAGAGACACGTAGTGTACCTTCTTCTGGGCGCTATAGGAAGGGTGCACTCACCAAACACTCCCCAACCCTCCCATCCTCAGAGCCCACCCGGCAGTACAACTGTGAAAGGCCTTGGAAAACTGGAGCGATGAGAGGGGTGAATCGTGTTGGTCTCATTGGAGACCCGCAGGTTGGGAGATTCTGGAACCAGGACGACCTTGCCCCTCACCTGCAGCAGAAGCCCCCGGAAACACCCGGCCCCGACCCGGACCTGAGCCGCCTGGGGGCCCAAGGGAAGCTGAACGCCCGGTGGGCTCCCGCGATGGTTCTTTGTGCCGCCTTGACCCAGTGAGGCAGCCTGTGCCCACCCTGCCCAGTCACTTTTGAGGCCGCTGCGGAACTTCCGCTGCCATCTTCGGATCCTGTGTCCCGCACGGGGGCTCCACCAGGGCAGGGATGGTGGTGAGGGTGGCTCGTGGGTCCCCTCGCGGAGAGCAGGGTCTGGCACTCACCAGCGCGCACGACTAGGACTTGTTGAATTAATCCATCGTCACCTTCAGCTTTTAGTCCTTTGAAGAGCCCCGAAAATGGAAATCATGAAATATTTTACCATGGGGAAGTTTTGATTTGTTTTTGAGACAGGGTCTCGCTAGGTCACCCAGGCTGGAGTGCAGTGGTGCAAACACGGCTCACTGCAGCCTCGACCTCCCGGGGCCATCGTCGCCTTTAGCTTTTAGTCCCTTGAAGAATCCCAAGAATAGAAATCATGAGATTTTTCCATGGGGAAGTTCTTTTTTCAAAGCGTTTATTCACGTTGATTTCTAGGCATCCCCCGGGGAGGGCAACGGGCAGGGCCTCCAGTGCACCTTCTGCGCGGTGGAGCCGCGGGGGCTCAGCTGAGCAGTGGTAGGGTCCTGGGGCGGGAGGGCAGGAGGGAAGGGAAAAGCAAAAGCGGGGAAAGAAGCCGGGGAGCGGTGGAACACACATCCAGACCTCCTGAAAGGCTCGTGCAGAGGCACAGGCTGGATCTTCTGGAGGTGAGAATTGTTTTTTGTTGTTGTTGTTGTTGTTGAAGCAGAATGGGGAGGAACTGAGGGGAAAATTCAGAGAGAACATGAAAGAGCTCCAAACGCGAGGACCTATAACTCCCCAAGAATAACATCTTCCAGAAGAACTAGACAGAAAACTGGGTGTCTGGGAACCCTGAAATCCCTGGAGGAGTAGCATCATCATGACCCTCTGTGTTCCTTTTGGCGAAAGGACTTGCTTCCCTTGTTTGTACAATTGTTTGTGTTTGTTAAATAAATAAAACCCTTTTCATATATCTTTGAAAGTACATTGGCTCTATTATTTTATGATTACAAACAATGCTGCAGTCATCATTCTTGTACACTTCTCATTGGCCACTAGTGTATTTCTATAGGGTAGAGGCCTGGAGAGCAGTTGCTCCAGCACAGTGATTACATGGTTTTTATATCATTCCATGTTCTTCTTCCCTTTGTTGGCTTATTAGCTATAACTCTTTCTTTCTTCTTGTCCACCGCATCTCCGACTTCTTTTCTGCTTTTGCTTTTTCAGTGATGGCTTTAGGGTTTCCAGAATACATCTTTATCAGTGCCATCTAGTGACATTCTACCTCCCCTTCTGGCCATTATGCTGGTGTTGTCATGTAATTTGGTTTTAGACATGTTATAAACCCCACAATCCATTATTATTGCTTTTGTTTAATCGGTCAAATTATTTTAAAAGATTTAAATAAGAAGAACATATATATTTAACTGTGTACATACCGATTTCCAGTAGTCTCCATTTCTTTGTGTAGATCCAGTTTTCTGTCTGGTATCCTTATCCTTAGGCCTGGAGGACTCCCTTTGCATTTCTTGTCGTGTGGGTTGCTGAATTCTTTCTTTCTTTTTTTTTTTTGTATGTCTTTAAATGTCCTTATTTCAATCACATTCTTGAAAGATTTTTCATTTTGGCATAGAATTCTAGGAAAACTTTATTTCTTTCAGTACTTTAGGATGTTGCCACTTTGTTTTTGTAAAACTGGCATAAAGCGGGCTTCTTGTACTTGTTATATAATTTTTGGAATGTGTATTTAAATTAAAAACATTAAAATGGGCTGGACAAGGTGGTGCACGCCTGTAGTCCCAGCACTTTGGGAAGGCGAGACAGGAGGATCGCTTGAGGCCCAGAGTTGGAGACCAGTGTGGGCAAGGCAGCAAGACCCTGTCTCTCTGTCTCTCATATATATACATACACATATATATATATATGTATATATACATACACATATATATATATGTATATATACATACACATATATATATATGTATATATACATACACATATATATATGTATATATACATATATATATACACACACATATATATACACACACATATATATACACATATATATACGTGCTCATGTGTATGTATATATATGTGTGTATATATATGCTCATATATATGTATATATGTGTGTGTATATATATACATATACACACATACATACATACATCGTGAATGTTCTAGATTCATCCTAAGTTCCACCAACAGTACACTTAAAGTAAAATGTGCCGAACCTGAGGGTCAAACCTACCTGCTGACGTGTAATTTGTGTTTGTGAGACATTCTCAACAGCATTTGCTTTCCCCTAGCATAGTGGTTTTCGTGTTTTCCTCACATCTGAATGTCTTCAGTGCAAAACCTGTCAGAATTCATTTCCTTTGCCGAAAGATTCTAAAATACTTTCTTTTTTTTTTTTTTGAGATCAGCGCACTGCAACTTCCACTTCCCAAGTTCAAAGGATTCTCCTGCCTCAGCCTCGTGAGTAGCTGGGACTACAGGCCTGAGCCAACACAGGCGGCTAATTTTTGTATTTTTAGTAGAGACGGAGTTTCACCATGTTGGCCAGGCTGGTCTCAAATTCCTGACCTCAAGTAATCTGCCCACCTTGGCCTCCCAAAGTGTTGGGATTACAGGCGTGAGCCACCTTGCCCAGCCTAAAATACTCTTACTTCAAGCAAAAGTGCATTAAAAACTAACTTCTCAGTTGCATCCCTGGAATCCATAGAAAGCCCGGGAGAGACAATCAAGTGCTACAGGATCAAGCGCTAAACAGGGGAGGACAAAACATGGCTTCCTAACTAGGAGTCAGGGCAAAGTTATCTGCTTTGGTCTCCAATGGAGACCGGCACTTGGTTCACCTGCGACGGGAGGACCCGGCCCAGAGGAGGCGGACTTTCTCTTCATGGTGCCTTCAGACAGGAAATCTCCTAGGATTCCTTTCTTTCCCTTTGATCTACTCCCAACGCTCCCTTTCTGTTTCTTCAAGACCTTTTTTGGATCCCCACTGCGCAGGACCTAAGGGGCTGGTGCCCTTCCCTACCCTTCCTGCCTGGGTGTCTTCAGCACCCATGCTCACCCAGAACGTTACTGCCTGCCAGAGAGAGCGAGAGGACCAAGGAGGGCGGTGGGTGCAGTGGGAACCAGAGTCACCGTGTGCCTGTGCCTCGTGGGCTCCTCGCAGATTGAATAAACGCCCCCTGAAGCTTCTCTGCAGGTCACAGGGAAGGGGAGGGTGGCTGCCGACCCGGCGGGAGAAGCGTCAAGAAGCGTCGGGAGGACCTGACCCTACCCCTGGACCTTGAAGACAGGCCTGGCCAGGCTGATTTTAATGGATAGGCCCAAGGAAAAGGCTCAAGGGCGGCCCAAACCCCGACCCTGAGATTAAGGCTTTCAAATGTCTGAACGGTTTGATGTTGGTCAGTAGAATCCATCCCACCTTTATCACGAGACTCCTTTGCCAAAATTCAGAGATCTGGGATTCCTGCTGGTTGCCGCACAGAAAGCCAATCACCGAGACGCTTATCGCCAAGGAAGGCACTTTAATAGGGTGCTGCAGTGGGGGAGATGAGAACTCAGTCTCAAATCCATCTCCCTGACCAACCAAAACCAGAGGTTTAGATGGCAGGGAAGAAATGTTAACAATGAGTAAGAAAACAGGAACTAGGGAGGAGCAAGGAAGCAATCATGATGAATGAGGGGTCCCAGCATCTCATTTTCTGGATGAATTTCAGTACTTTGATAGCTTTTTTGACAGGCCTGAAGGTCATTTCCTGAGGAAGGAACTCAGATAAAACAAATACTAAGTTTCTTTCTTTTTTTTTTTTTTTTTGAGACGGAGTCTTGCTCTGTCGCCCAGGCTGGAGTGCAGTGGCGCGATCTCGGCTCACTGCAACCTCCGCCTCCCAGGTTCATGCCATTCTCCTGCCTCAGCCTCCCGAGCAGTTGGGGCTACAGGCACCCACCACCACACCCAGCTACTTTTTTGTATTTTTAGTAGAGACGGGGCTTCACCGTGTTAGCCAGGATGGTCTCGATCTCCTGACCTCGTGATCCACCCGCCTCGGCCTCCCAAAGTGCTGGGATTACAGGCGTGAGCCACCGCACCCGGCCAACAAATATTAAGTTTCAAGCTGTAAGACCAGAAGGGTCCATTTCTAGGTTTATCCAAAAAAGCTACATATGGGACTGTGGGGTGGTTTTCAGACCAAGAAAGAAAAAGATTGTGCAGACCAAAGTCTGCAGTTAACCAAAGAAAAAACATAATTTTCTGACCAATAGGATGTATGGGATCAGAGAATGACCAGGCTATAGAAGAACCGTTTTTTGTCCTGAGCATAGGGGAAGGATGAAGTTGCACCAACTAAGGTGGAATTAAGCTGCAGATGGGGAAAAATCTGGATTTTGGTTCAGAGCCCTGGGGTCTTCCTTGAAAGAAGAACCCTGTTTCGGTTTCTGCCTCTCTCTGAGTCCTTTTGGAGGTTGAGGATGCTGAGGTCTTGGTGCTTGGCCCCCTCTAGCCCTGAGTACTTCCCCTCCGGCAGGGCAACCTGGCCCAGTGCCCAGGTCCCAGCTCCAGCGACCATTTCCCCCTACTTTGCTCCTAGCAAAGGCCTGAAGGCCTAGCGGTTCCTGCAGAACCCCTGTCTCCCTCTTTTGGATAAAGCAGAGAGGAAATGACCTGTGTGGAGGGAATCAGGGGCTGCATCTGCACGGAGGAGCTGAGGCAAGTAGGGCAGTTGCGGTCTGTCAATGTAAAGGACATTTGCCATCCAGGAGGTTGGGCTGTTATTATTAGTTTTTAAATTCGTCAATACAAACTTCAGGGAAATGTGTCTTCTTACTTGTAGGAACCTCACAAGACCTCCCATCTTATATTCCAGGGAGAATTGCTGCGTATTACACGAACACATAGGTGAGACTGCCATTCTGACCTGCAGGCCTCGATGTCCTGTGCAGGGGCACCAGGGCACTGGCAAAGCCCTTTCCATACAAAGAGCAAGCGTGTTATGTCTACAACCCAATGGCACCAGTTCCAAGTACAATTTCTACTTGGTTCTATGAGCTGAGTACATGTTCCCCCCAGCACAGAAATCCTACAAACTCCCATGAATGCTATAGGGAAAAGCAGGGGCTAGCCAGGTGTGATGGATCATACGTGTAATCCCAGCAGTTTAGAAGGCCAAGGCAGGGCAGATCACTTGAGTCCAGGAATTGGAGACCAACCTGGGCAACATGGCGAAACTTCAACTCTTAAAAAAACAAAACAACAACAACAACAACAAAACAAGAACAGAAATTAGCCGGCTGCGATGGCTCGTGCCTGTGCTACTCCAGAGGCTGAGGTGGGAGGATCGCTTGAACCAAGATCCCACCAGATACAGTGAGACTCTGTCTCAGGGAAAAATACAAACAAAAAAAAGAGGCTCTGTAAGAGGTGACTCTGGGGACAATGGAAAAACACTAAGGTTTTCAAGTGGTGTTAAAAGCCAGTAGGCCTTGGGGACCACTGAGCAATCTACAAAGCAGGGAAGCCTAGATCCCTGAGCTCTGCCCGCCAAGTACCACCACAGCTAACATGAGAGACCTCCCCCACAGAGACTGAAATTTGCCTCCTGAGGAAACAAGTGACTACAGACATCTGTCCCAGGACAGTAAACAAGAAAATAAGGTCTCACAAAAACAAAAACAGCTGACCACACCATACAATCACTGAGACCGGGCCTGCGACTATAGATGAAAAAAGCAAATGCTGTCTATTATTCATACCATGAAAGACCAGGGGAAAGCACGAACGCAGTCCCCTACTACTGTTGCGGGAATCAGGAGAACAAAGAGACCAACGGGTGGAACAGAAGGATTTTATTGAGTGCACTCGGGCCTAGCGTGAGCCCCGAAGAAAGACAGGGGGCTTGACTTTTATACACACTTCTGAAAGGGGGTTGGCTAGTTTGAATGGTGCAGCAGGAATTTGATGGTGCGAAACTCGCGGGGCAGGCAAGAGGGCTTACAGAAGCAGAAAGAAGGCAGTTAATCAAACTGTGACAGGTCTTGCAACGCAAGCACAGCTGGTAACCTTGCAGCTGCACTGAATGGAAATCAGGAACTTACAAAACTTGAATAATGACAAGTGGCAAGGGGGAAAGACAAGGCAGTAAAGACATTTGTTGTTTTTCCTCTTATACTTGCTGGGGGCGGACCGTGTTGACAAAGTCGCTGGAAATCACTGTCAGAGATGTAGCTTTTAGGATAGTATTGTCCAGGATCTGCTAGGCTCTATCCACTGCAGGCCTTGGTGGGGGGGGAGGGGGGGCCTGCGAAGCACAGGAAAACTTGTCTTTTCGTTGTAACTTCCGCTTCGTTACTACAAGTTACGCAGCTGAGCTTCCCACGTTAGAGAAAATGACAGAACAGCACACTTGAAATGAAATAGTTGAGTCGGGTTTAAAAGCCATTTCAGTAACCACAATATCTGCCCTGCCACATAAATAAGATTGCACCTATCTCCGCCCCGCCACAGCTCCATACGCCTCACCCTTTAAACGCACAGTCACTTGCCCCAGCACCACTCCAGCCAATCCCCAACCACCCCGAGCCCTCCTAGCCCTAACACACAGCTGGGACTCTCATGTCCAGCCAGTGGTCCTGGACTTGCTCCTACAGCGCGGGAAATCCTTCGTGGCGAAGCAGCAGCCCCTGCGCTGCCTCATCTACATAGAAACGCCCTATCGGTGATGTCACCGACAGTGCCTTTCCCAGTCTCCTTCTGCTCTTCCGCCCCACCCTCCGCCACTCAGCCTACCAACCCGCTGGGGGAGCCGACGGAGGAAGTGACGTCTGCTGTCCCACCTCTCCCTCCCGCCCTTGTCCTTTCCGGAGGTGCGCCCAGACCCCGCATCTAGTATCCCCCAAAGAAGCGACTACTTAACTTGTGTCCTGCGGAGGACCCTTCTGGCGGCCAGCTGGAAGCTGTGCGCCGGTCTTCAAATAGTGGCTTTTAATTCGCAGACTAGAACATTTAGGATTACAAAGAAAACCGTTTCCTTTCAAAGCTGTTTATCTTTGTGAAGTAGCATTTTGCTTAAAATTGGAAGCCTTTGACTATCAGAGAGAAATCATATCTATGAAACTAGAGAGGCTGCTCAGATGACTGCAAACCAGCCATCCTTGCTGGTTTTACCAGTAGTAGTGTTATAAAGAATGTTGTCCAATTTCATGAGTCTCGTAGGTTTGTTTTTTTGTTTTTCAAATACAGTATTGTACAAAAAGGAAGCAGAATGTGGTTGCTGTCACAATGTAATGCCTCTCTGGGCCTGAGAATTTGGAAAGGCTCACACTCCTCATAAAAGTTCTCTTCTTTCCTCATTCTCCCTTTAGATAAAAAGTCTTTTTTTTTTTTTTTTTTTTTTTTGAGACGGAGTCTCGCTCTGTCGGCGGGATCTCGGCTCACTGCAAGCTCCGCCTCCCGGGTTCACGCCATTCTCCTGCCTCAGCCTCCCGAGTAGCTGGGACTACAGGCGCCCGCCACGACGCCCGGCTAATTTTTTGTATTTTTAGTAGAGGCGGGGTTTCACTGTGTTAGCCAGGATGGTCTCGATCTCCTGACCTCATGATCCGCCCGCCTCTGCCTCCCAAAGTGCTGGGATTACAGGCGTGAGCCACCGCGCCCGGCCAGATAAAAAGTCTTTCTTGAAAGCATTGTTGATCAAAAGCTGTATCTCTCCTTGCCAGAAAGGCTCATTCCCAGATAGTCCTGTCCCACACTGGGGGCAGGGGAGGAAAGGAGCCCTCTCACTAAGGAATTTTTAACAGTGCCCAGAAGCTGAATTGGCATCACAGAATTGGGGGCGGGGGGGGAGACAGAGAGATCTCGGCCAATTCTATAGTTGCTGTCACTTGTTGAATCATCTCTAGTCTTCAGAGTACCATGAAAACAATGAGAAATACATAACATTAATAATTTGACTAGTGGAGATATAATGCACACAAGAATGATAATCACAAAGAGAATCTATATCCCGAAACAGTAAGGGAACCTATTCCATTAGGCAGCCAACTGAAAACATCAGGGAAAACATCAAATACCATTTCTTCTTTAGTGATTTATTGTAGCCAAGTGGCTTCCT
Organism: Homo sapiens; assembly: GCF_000001405.40. Classification (NCBI taxonomy): domain Eukaryota; kingdom Metazoa; phylum Chordata; class Mammalia; order Primates; family Hominidae; genus Homo; species Homo sapiens. Next base: position 59,469 of record NT_187520.1, read on the forward strand.
TTCTAATTTTTTTTCTAGAGAAGGTTCTACTGCATGGGAAACATTTATGTATATGCAACAAAAGGTATTTGCCACCACACATACATCTCCCTGCTCAGCTAAATATATCATCTAAAGTGATGTGATTACCTAGTACAACCTTAGCCAGTGAATAAATAGCTTTTTATTGAGCTGCAAAAGAGGCCGCAGTTTCATCAGCAATGTTTTTCTTTCTTTTTTCTTTTTCTTTCAGAGACAGCGTCTGTCTCTGTGTCCCAGGCTGGAGTGCAGTGGTGCCATCATAGCTCACTGCAGCCTTCAACTCCTGGGCTTAAGTGATCCTCCTGCCTCAGCCCCCGAGTCACTGGGATTACAGGCCAGAGCCACCATGCCTGGTTTTCATCAGCAGTGTTTCCTGAGGTTACAGAAAGATTTATAATCCTAGGAAGAAACACTCCCTTGAAGCAAAAGTGCTCTCCCCGCAAAAATGCAAGGAGCTATCTTCTTGATAGCCGGGCAGATAATTCTCAGGTTTTGCCCCACTGAATCTCTATCTAAAATAGAGCAGTGGTCATGCCTAGTGAAAAGTTAGAGGGCCTAACGTTTAAATCTGTAATCCATCTTGAATTGAGTTTTGTATAAGGTGTAAGGAAGGGATCCAGTTTCAGCTTTCTTCATATGGCTAGCCAGTTTTCCCAGCACCATTTATTAAATAGGGAATCCTTTCCCCATTGCTTGTTTTTCTCAGGTTTGTGAAAGATCAGATAGTTGTAGATATGTGGCATTATTTCTGAGGGCTCTGTTCTGTTCCATTGATCTATATCTCTGTTTTGGTACCAGTACCATGCTGTTTTGGTTACTGTAGCCTTGTAGTATAGTTTGAAGTCAGGTAGTGTGATGCCTCCAGCTTTGTTCTTTTGGCTTAGGATTGACTTGGCGATGTGGGCTCTTTTTTGGTTCCATATGAACTTTAAAGTAGTTTTTTCCAATTCTGTGAAGAAAGGCATAGGCATTGGTAGCTTGGAACCAACCCAAATGTCCAACAATGATAGACTGGATTAAGAAAATGTGGCACATATACACCATGGAATACTATGCAGCCATAAAAAATGATGAGTTCATGTCCTTTGTAGGGACATGGATGAAATTGGAAACCATCATTCTCAGTAAACTATCGCAAGAACAAAAAACCAAACACCGCATATTCTCACTCATAGGTGGGAATTGAACAATGAGATCACTTGGACACAGGAAGGGGAATATCACACTCTGGGGACTGTGGTGGGGTCGGGGGAGGGGGGAGGGATAGCATTGGGAGATATACCTAATGCTAGATGACACGTTAGTGGGTGCAGCGCACCAGCATGGCACATGTATACATATGTAACTAACCTGCACAATGTGCACATGTACCCTAAAACTTAGAGTATAATAAAAAAAAAAAAAAATTAAAAAAAAAAAAAAAAAAAGAAAAGTTAGAGGGAACTCGCCCAATGTTGGGTTTCTTCAGATATATGTGTGTATATATATATATTTATATATATGTGTGTGTGTATATATGTGTATATATATATATATATCTCCAAATATCTTAAAGACACTGCCCTTCATCATTCCATGCCATTAGACATTTATAGGACCATGCATGGTGATCTCCTCCACACAAAAATAAATGCTGGTGCAGAACAGGTAAGTGTACTATAAATTGAGTACATCAGCTTTTGGGCATTTTAAACCATTGGTCACACACGTTGGAGCAAGAGGGCAGGTTGATAGCAAGAGGGAGTGTTTCTCTTTCAGTTTTCCAATAGCAAAGTGATGTTTGCCACTGTCATTTCAGAGTGAGGTGACAAATTTTTGTTGTTGTTTGGTTTTGTGGGGTTTTTTGTTCGTTTTTGAGACAAGGTCTCACTGTCCCCCAGGCTGGAGTGCAGTGGCACGATCAGGGTTACTTTTGCCTTGACCTCATGAATTCAAGCAAACCTCCTTACTAATCCTCCTGAGTAGCTGGGACTACAGGCACGTGACACCACACCCTGGGGTGTGAACTGGGATTTTATATTTTCAGTTGGCTCCCTAATGGAATAGGTTCCCTTACTATTCTGGAATACAGATTGTCTTCATGGTTGCCATTCTCGTGTGCATTATATTTCTACTAACCTGCTAATTTTTTTTTCTTTTTTCTTTTCTTTTCTTTTTTTTTTTTTTTTTTGAGACAGAGCCTCACTCTGTTGCCCAGGCTGTATTGCATGCAGTGGCAGGATCTCAGCTCACTGCAATCTCTGCCTCCTGGGTTCAAGAGATTCTCCTGCCTCAGCCTCCTGAGTAGTTTGGATTACAGCCTTGCTGACATACACCACCACGCTGGGCATTTTTTTTTTTTTTTTTTTTTTTTGGTATTTTTAGTACAGACGGGGTTTCGCAATGTTGGTCAGGCTGGTCTCGAACTCCTGACCTCAGCTGATCAGAAGTAGGTGAGGTCAGAAAACGCACCCTGGGAGAGGCTGGCAAAATGCCCAGAACGGCCATCGCTAGGCCTGGGGTTTTCTTCTGTACTGAAATACTACTATTCATGTAGTGCGGGGACAAAACCAATTAGATACTTCTGGGAGTTAAAAAGAGATGAATTTACAGTGCCATTTGAGAAGGGGTATTAAGGAATTTTCCAGGGTACTGACGCGTGTCAGGTGCAAACTGCAGGTTCGGAGAGAGCTAAGTATTTTCTGTCCATGAAGGTGATAAGGGGGGTCTTGAAGAAAGAGGAAGGGGGGAGGACACTGGCGCCAGAAATAGGAAAGGGCTGCTTGGGGGTGGGAAGGATGGGTCGGGGTGCTATCTAGAAAGCTGCCTGGCAGTGGATGTAGGATGTAGAAGCGAGACATCAAACAAGAAGCTGTCGCTTAAATAAAGTCTGAAGATAGACTAGATATGTAAACGGCAGGAGATAGTAGGGAAACTGGACCCGTCTCCTCATAAAACTTCCCGCCTTATGTTTCAGGGAGGACCGCAGCGCATTTCGGCCAAGACAGGTGAGACTGCGGTTCTGACCTACGGGCCTCGATGAATTGCGTTAGGGCACCTGGGCTCCGGGAGAGCCGTTCCACTCCACAAAGTAAGCGTGTTATGTCTGCAAACGAACGGGGACACTAAGAGCCCCAAAGGCCCTGCTTTCATCCCAAAGAACAGCCCCCGTCTGCGTAGTTTGTACCTGGCTCTGTGAGGTGAGAACACATTCCCCGCTAGCACAGAAATCCTACAAACTCCTGAGGGGGCTGCGGTTAGAAGCAGACGCTGTGTAAAAGGGGACTCTGGAAGCTAGAGAAAAACACGAAAATCTTCACAGAGCGTGAGAACCCAAGACGCTGGAGACCGTGGATCAATTTCTGCAATAAGCAGCCTTATGTTCAAAGGGAAGAGCTATGCAGTCTTCGCGCTGGTTAGCCTAGGATAAACCGGCTGACACTCCTTACTTCTCCAGCGAGAAAGACAGCGACATGCCACTTCCTATTTTGCAGGCTTCTGACTGTAACAGTAACACTTAAGGGCACCACAAAAAACACAAACCAATGAAAGAAAGCAGTAACAAGGAGCGTACGGTCTATTTTTGAAACCAGAAAAAAAGAAATCAGGGAAAAGCACGGACACAGCCCCCCACTACCACAAATTATGCAGTCGAGTTTCCCACATTTGGGGAAATCGCAGGGGTCAGCACATCCGGAGTACAATGAATAAGCCTCAGCCCTGGGAAAACCACCTTCGTGGTCACGTTATCTCCCCTGCCAAGTAAATATGAGCTCCTGCACCTCCGCCCCGTACGCCTCACCCTTTACACGCACGGTCACTTCCCCGCGCACCCGCGAGCCCTCCTAGCCCTGACACACAGCTGGGACTCTCAGGTCCGACCAGCGGTCCTGAACCCGCTCCCACGGCACGGGAACTCCTTCGTGGCGAAGCAGCATGTGGCGAAGCGCAGCCTCTGCGCTGCCTCATCTACATAGAAGTCGCCCTATCCGTGATGTCACCGACAGTGCCTTTCCCAGTCCCCGTCTGCTCTTCCACCCCAACCTCCGCCAACTCAGCCGACCAACCCGCTGCTGAGCCGGCAAAGGGAAGTGACGTCTGTCTCTCCCTTTTTTCTCTCCCGCTCCCTTGTCTGTTCTCTCCCAAAGAAGCTGGTCCTTAGCTTCTATTGCGGAGCAACCTTTCGGCGACCAGCTGGAGCCTGGGCACCCTTCTTCAAATAATGGCCTTTAATTCGCAGACGAGAACGTTTAGGATGACAAAAGAAACTTTTTTTTCACGTCCTTACCCTTGTGATGAAGCATTCCGCTTACATATATATATGTAATGTTGGGTTTCTTCAGATATATATATATATATGTATATGTGTATAAATATCCAAATATCCTAAAAGACACGGCCCTTCATGATTCCATGCCATTAGACATTTATAGGACCATGCATGGTGATCTCCTCCACACAAAAATAAATGCTGGTGCAGAACAGGTAAGTGAAATTGAGTACATCAGCTTTTGGGCATTTTAAACCATGGGTCAGAAATGTTAGGGCAAGAAGGCAGGTTGACAGCAAGAGGGAGTGTTTTTCTTTCAATTTTCCAATAGCAAAGTGTTGTTTGCCGCTGTCAGTTCAGAGTGAGGAGACAATTTGTTGTTGTTGTCTGGTTTTGTGGGGGTTTTTGTTTGTTTTTTAGTTTGTTTTTGAGACAAGGTCTCACTGTCCCCCAGGCTGGAGTGCAGTGGCACGATCAGGGTTACTTCTGCCTTGACCTCATGAATTCAAGCAAACTTCCTTACCAATCCTCCCGAGTAGCTGGGACTACAGGCATGTGACACCACACCCTGGGGTGTGAACTGCGATTTTATATTTTCAGTTGGCTCCCTAATGGAATAGGTTCCCTTACTATTCTGGAATACAGATTGTCTTCATGATTATCATTCTCGTGTGCATTATATTTCTACTACCCTGCTAATTTTTTTCTTTTTGAGACAGAGTCCCGCTCTGTCACCCAGGCTGTATTGCAGTGGCAGGATCTCAGCTCACTGTAGCCTCCACTTCCCGGGTTCAAACGATTCTTTTGCTTCAGCCTCCTGAGTAGCCACCTGGCTAATTTTTGTGTTTTTAGTAGAGACAGGGTTTCACCAGGTTGGCAGGCTGGTCTCGAACTCCTGACCTCAAGGGATCGACCCGCTTCAGCCTCCCAAAGTGCTGGGATTACAGGCATGAGCTACCACGCCTGGCTCTCAAACCATTTTAAGTAAGCAAAGGCAGATTTGTCTGGCTTTTTAGTACATTGCTGAATTATCCTCCAATCTATATTTTTAGGAAGGACCTGGGGAATGGCAACATGCACATATTTGGCTAAAATGTGAACCTTTCATGTTCTGCTTGAAAATCCTTCCAATTTGCCTTTTGCAACCAGTTAGTGGCCTTGCCTTCTTCACCAGAATGTGAATTAATTGATAAAGGCCAGAATATTTGGGCTCAAAGGTTTCGACAGTTAAGTCGAATTTTCTGCCAAAGCCTATAGGATCTTGGAGCCTGCTTTAGAAACAGAAGAACGAAATGTGTTTAACTTTAGATCAGGGAAGTCCTTTATTTTTTTTTATTTATTTTTATTTATTTATTTTTTTTGAGATGAAGTGTTGCTCTGTTGCCCAGGCTGGAGTGCAGTCGCGCGATCTCGGCTCTCTGCAAGCTCCGCCTCCCGGGTTAACGCCATTCTCCTGCCTCAGCCTCCTGAGTAGCTGGGACTACAGGCGCCCGCCACCACGCCCCGCTAATTTTTTGTATTTCTAGTAGAGATGGGGTTTCACCGTGTTAGCCAGGATGGTCTCCATCCCCTGATCTTGTGATCCGCCCGCCTCCGCCTCCCAAAGTGCTAGGATTACAGGCGTGAGCCACCGCGCCCGGCTATAATATTCTTAATTCACATTTTGGTGAAGCGGTGTACACAATGGTAGGCTCCCCTCTTCCTGTGGGTTTGGGTTTTACCTTGAAAGGGGCTGTCAGAACAGAAGTTTCAGGGAAGGGGCCAGAGCCCTGGGGACTTTCCTCAGGTGATGGTGATGGAAGAAGAGGCAAGGCAGGACAGGAAGGCTCAGGTAAGAAAGACTATGCAGGTGCAGGGGCAGGAGGAGAAGGAGCAGTTGGAGGCGAAAGAGACAAAGCCTCCTCAATATTTCTCAATTCAGAAAACGTGTCAGTTTACCTCCTTAAGCTTACTTCCTCAATGGAGGCAATTTTCTTAGTTCTTTTTTTTTTTTTTTTTTTTTTTTTTGAGATGGAGTCTGGCTCTATTGGCAGGCGGGAGTGCAGTGGTGTGCTCTCGGCTCACTGCAACCTCCGCCTCCCGGATTCAAGCAATTTTCCTGCCTCAGGCTCCCGAGAGCTGGGACTACAGGAGCCCGCCATCAAGCCCGGCTAATTTTTTGTATTTTTAGTTGAGACGGGGTTTCACCATGTTGGCCAGGATGATCGCCATCTCTTGACCTCATGATCCGCCCGCCTCGGTCTCCCAAAGTGCTGGGATTACAGGCCTGAGCCACCGCGCCCGGCGCAATTTTCTCAGTTCTTTTAGAAATTTTAGAAATTTAGAAATTTGGAAATTTCTAGGTCTCATTGCAAGTAAGTCTCCCATTTAATTTGTCTTGTTCTAAAACCAAATTTCTCTCTCTCTCTCTTTTTTTTTTTTCCTTCAGACAGAGTCTCACTCTGTCGCCCAGGCTGGAGTGCAGTGGCGCGGTCTTGGCTCACTACAACCTCTGCCTCCCAGGTTCAAGCAATTCTTCTGCCTCAGCCTCCTGAGTAGCTGGGATTACAGGAGCCCGCCACCATGCCCGGCTAATTTTTGTATTTTTAGTAGAGACAGGGTTTCACCATGTTGGCCAGGCTGATCTCGAACTCCTGACCTCTGGCTCCCAAAGCGCTGGGATTACAGGCGTGAGCCACCGTGCCCAGCGTAACCAAGATTATTGAGCCATTCTAATTTGTCAAAAGAGTCACATTGATTTTAAAAAAAATAACGTAATGGGCCAGGTACGGTGGCTCACGCCTGTAATCCCAGCACTTTGGGAAGCCGTAGGGGGCGGATCACGAGGTCAGGAGTTCGAGACCAGCCTGAGCAACATGGTGAAACCCCGTGTCTACTAAAAATACAAAAATTAACCGGGCGTGGTGGTGTGTGCCTGTAATCCCAGCTACTGAGGAGGCTGAGGCTGGAGAATTGCTTGAACCCAGGAGGCGGAGGTTGCAGTGAGCCAAGATTGCACCACTGCACTCCAGACTAGGTGACAGAGTGAGACTCCGTTTCAAAATGAATACATAAATAAGCAAATAATAATGTAATGAACGTTTTCATCGTTTACATATTAAATAGATGAAGGGGTGGCCTGCCCCTCCATACTTGTGGGCGTTTCTCATCGGGTGGAAGGAGAGACTTGAGAAAAGAGAGAGACACAGAGACAAAGTATAGAGAAAGAAAAGTGAGCCCAGGGAACCGGCGCTCAGCATACGGAGGACCCGCGCCGGCACCAGTCTCTGAGTTCCCTTAGTATTTATTGATCATTATCGGGTGTTTCTCGGAGAGGGGGATGTGGCAGGACAATAGGGTAATAGTGGAGAGAGGGTCAGGAGGAAAACATGTGAACAAATGTCTCTGCATCATAAACAAGCTAAAGAAAAAAGTGCTGTGCTTTTGATGTGCATATACAGAAACATCTCAATGCCTGAAAGAGCAGTATTGCTGCCCACATGTCCCACCTCCAGCCCTAAAGGGGTTTTCTCCTATCTCAATAGATGGAATATACAATCGGGTTTTACACCGAGACATTCCATTGCCCAGGGATGAGCAGGAGACAGATGCCTTCCTCTTTTACTAATCCTCCTCAGCACAGACACTTTACGGGTGTCGGGCTGGGAGACGGTCAGGTATTTCCCTTCCGGCGAGGCCATATTTCAGACTATCACATGGGGAGAAACCTTGGACAATACCTGGCTTTCCTTGGCAGAGGTCCCTGTGGCCTTCTGCAGTGTATTATGTCTCTGGGTACTTGAGATTAGGGAGTGGTGATGACTCTTAACAAGCATGCTGCCTTCAAGCATCTGTTTAACAAAGCACATCCTGCACAGCCCTTAATTCATTTAACTTTGAGTGGACACAGCACTTGTTTCAGGGAGCACACGGTTGGGGGTAGGGTTACAGATTAACAGCATCTCAAGGCAGAATTTTTCTTAGTACAGAACAAAATGGAGTCTCTTATGTCTCCTTCTTTCTACATAGACACAGTGACAGTCTGATCTCTCTTTCTTTTCCCCACAATACTTACACTATTTAAATTGTTCAAAAGCATCAAAGATTCCTCTCTGCTGTCAACTTCATTCCATTTATTTTATTGTACCAAACTATCAAGACCATTAATTTAATCTACTGCTAAATCTATTATTTTTTTCATGTTAGAAATTCAACCAGAAAATTTCTCCCTAATGAAACCTCACATTTCAAGCATAAGTAGGCTGGGTGAGGTGGCTCACACCTGTAATCCCAGCACTTTGGGAGGCCAAGACAGGTGCATCACTTGGGGTCAGGAGCTTGAGACCAGCCTGACAAACATGGTGAAACCCCGTCTCTACTAAAAATATAAAAATTAGCTGTGTGTGGTGGCATGCGCCTGTAATCCCAGCTACTCTGGAGGCTGAGGCAGGGAAATAGCTTCAACCTGGGAGGCAGAGCTTGCAGTGAGCTGAGATTGCACCACTTCAGTCTAGCCTGGGCTACAGAGCAAGACTCTGTCTCAAAAACAAATAAATAAGCATAAGTAGTAAAAAAAAAAAAAAAAAAAAAAAGATAAAAAATAAGGCGCAGGGTCTTGCTCTGTTATCCAGGCTTGAGTGCAGCGGGGCTATCATAGCTGACCAGCTTGGAACTTCTGGGCTCAGGCAATCCTCCTGGCTCAACTTGCCTTGTATTTTTTTAGAGATGGGGTCTTGCCCTGTTGCCCAGGCTGGTCTCCAACTGCTGGCCTAAAGCAATCCTTCTGCCTCAGCCTGTTGAGTTGCTGGGAGTACAGGTGCAAGACATGCAGCCTAGCATTGTAGTAAAACAATTTTCAACAAATTCTTAATTTTCTTTCTTTTTCTTTTTCTTTTCTTTCTTTCTTTTTTTTTTTTTTGAGTTGGGAGTCTCACTCTGTCACTCAGGCTGGAGGGCAGTGGCGCAATCATAGTTCACTGCAGCCTGCCTCAGTCTCCCAAGTAGCTGAGATTACAGTCATGCATTATCATGCCTGGCCAACTTTAAAAAATTAGCTAATACTTAAAAATTTGTAGAGACAGGGGTTTCACTATATTGCCAGGCTGGTATCCAACTCCTAACCTCAATTGATCCTCCCTCCTCAGCCTCCTAAAGTGCTGGGATTGCAGATATGAGCCACCATACCTGGCTTAATTTTCTTATTTTAATTTTATATAAGTGATTATTATTGTTCCTAAGATAATTGGGGCAGTGACTCCTTTAAAATTTTAGAGACCTAATTTGTCTATTCACTTCACTGAAAGAGTATGCCAGTTTGCTTCATGAGAAAATATCCTATATTAATAAAGCAAGAAAATTCCTTCCACCAAACTAGGGGGCATTCTAAAGAAACGAATTGTGCTAAGTAACATCACTTAAGGTGAAAACAGAGGCAATGGTATCTATTAACAATGTTTATCAGTGAAGGAAATAAACTGAAAATGTTAACATCATTAAATCCTCAGAGGGCCTTCGTTGCTGAAAATCTGAGTAATATTGTGATACCCTTTTGAGTCCGGCAGGACATTCTCTTTCCAGGGCATATGACAGTGGGCGAATAATTTCTTTTCATTCATTTTCATTAAGGGCTGAACTTCCTTAATGTTCTGGAGATTATTAAATTTGATTTGTATAGTTGTGAAAAGTGCTCATATTGCTGATTCCATTGCTTACATATGATCATATAAGTCTTTTCTCTCCTTTCTGTAGTGTGGTTTAAACTTAATCCTTAAAGGACATGTATTTGAATTTTTCAGCTGGTTAGAAACCTGAATATACCAATCAAAGAAAACTGCTCCTTACATGCTACAGATTTAGTGTTCTTCCTGTGCTAAGATGTCTTTTAGATATAGTAAATTTGTTAAAGCCAAGAGCTCCTATGGAACAAAGTTGGGTGGGAGGGGGACATTGAGTAGTAAGATCACTCTTGTAATAGAGATGCCACTCTTGCAGATATTGACAACTATTGGGCCTGTAAAATTTTTAACAAACATTGGAAAGACAAGATATGAACAACTCATCATTGCTGCAGTCTCAAATATCAGGAAATACCATTATTCTCAGGACAATAAATAGACAATAAAAAAGACTCACAGAGCAGCTTAGCTGTCATGTATTACCAAACAGGGACTGGATCCTTGTCAACACCACCCAACAGAGATTGTCCCCAGAAATTCACTTCATAACATCAAAACCAAAAACCCACACTGATGGCACAATATAATGATGCAAAAATGAGAGAGAGAGAGAGACAGAGAGAGAGAGAGAGAGAGAGGGAGAGAGAGAGAGACCTGTCCTACAGCCATACTTAGTGGGTAAAAGCCAAAGAGCTCAATTTCTGCTCATGATACTTAATAGAACAGAGGGAACATGAGCCAATAGCTCAATGGGTTCAGATCTGCACCAAGTGCCTGTTGGATGCAGAATTCTACTGTCTCCAATAATATGTCTCAGATGGACTAGTTTTTTTGTTTTTTGTTTGTTTTGTTTTTGTTTTTTATTTTTTGTTTTTGAGAGAGAGTCTCCCTCTGTCGCCCAGGCTGGGGTGCAACGGCACGATCTCGGCTCACGGCAACCTCCGCCTCCCGGGTTCAAGCGATTCTCCTGCCTCAGCCTCCCAAGTAGTTGGGACTACAGACGCACACCACCACGTCTGGCTATTTTTTTGTTTTGTTTTGTTTTGTTTTGTATTTTTAACAGAGACAGAGTTTCGCCATGTTGGTCAGGCTGGTCTCGAACTCCTGACCTCAGTTGATCAGAAGTAGGTGAGGTCAGAAAACATACCCTGGGAGAGGCTGGCACAATGCCCAGATCCGCCATCGCTAGGCCTGGGGTTTTCTTCTGTAGTATTCATGTAGTGCAGGGACAAAACCAATTAGATACTTCTGGGAGTTAAAAAGAGATTAATTTGCCGGGCGCGGTGGCTCACGCCTGTAACCCCAGCACTTTGGGAGGGTTCACGAGGTCAGGAGATCGAGACCATCCTGGCTAACGCGGTGAAACCCCGTCTCTACTAAAAATACAAAAAATTAGCCGGGCGTGGTGGCCGGCGCCTGTAGTCCCAGCTACTGGTAGGAGGCTGAGGCAGGAGAATGGCGTGAACCCGGGAGACTGAGCTTGCAGAGAGTCGAGATCGTGCCACTGCACTCCAGCCTGAGCGACAGAGCGAGACTCCGTCAAAAAAAAAAAAAAAAAAAAAAAAAAAAAAAAAAGATGAATTTACAGTGTCATTTGAGAAGGGGTATTAAGGAATTTGCCAGGGTACTGACGCGTGTCAGGTGCAAACTGCAGGTTGAGAGAGAGCTAAGTATTTTCTGTCCATGAAGGTGATAAGCGAGGGCCTGAAGAAAGAGGAAGGGGGGAGGACACTGGCGCCAGAAATAGGAAAGGGCTGCTTGGGGGTGGGAAGGATGGGTCGGGGTGCTATCTAGAAAGCTGCCTGGCAATGGCTGTGGGATGCGGAAGCGAGACATCAAACAAGAAGCTGTCGCTTAAATAAAGTCTGAAGAAAGACTAGATATGTAAACGGCAGGAGATAGTAGGGAAACTGGACCCGTCTCCTCATAAAACTTCCCGCCTTATATTTCAGGGAGGATCGCAGCGCATTTCGGCCAAGACAGGTGAGACTGCGGTTTTGACCTGCGGGCCTCGATGAATTGCGTTAGGACACCTGGGCTCCGGGAGAGCCGTTCCACTCCGCAAAGTAAGCGTGTTATGTCTACAACCCAACGGGGACGCGCTAAGAGCCCTAAAGGCCCTGCTTTCATCCCAAAGAACAGCCCCCGCCTGCATAGTTTGTACCCGGCTCTATGAGGTGAGAACACATTCCCCGCTAGCACAGAAATCCTACAGACTCCTGAGGGGGCTGCAGCTAGAAGCAGAGGCTGTGTGAAATGTGACTGGGGGCTAGGGAAAAACACGTAGATTTTCACAGACCCTGAGAACCCAAGAGACTGCAGACCATGGGCAGACAAATCTCTGCAAAAAGCAGCCCCGCCTAGATAAAGGAAGAGCTGTGCGGCCTTCGCGCTAGCTAGCTTGTGTAAAGGTCGACGATTCTTATTTCTCCCGGGGCGGGGAGAAAGCGACATATTACTACTATTTCTCAGCCTTCGACTGTGAGAGTAACGATTAAGACTAAAACACAAGCCAGTAAAAAAAACAAGTAACCCTTGCTGTGTAGACTATTCTTTAAACTACAAAAAATCAGGGGAAAGCGCGAACGCAGTCCCCCACTACCACAAATTATGCAGTCGAGTTTCCCACATTTGGGGAAATCGCAGGGGTCAGCACATCCGGAGTGCAATGGATAAGCCTCGCCCTGGGAAAACCACATTCGTGATCATGGTATCTCCCCTGCCAGGTAAGTATGAGCTCTTGCACCTCCGCCCCGCCACAGCCTCACACGCTTCACCCTTTACACGCACGGTCACTTGCCCCGCGCAGCCCCACCCCCCCCAGCCCTCCTAGCCCTGACACACAGCTGGGACTCTCAGGTCCGACCAGCGGTCCTGAATCCGCTCCCACGGCACGGGAAATCCTTCGTGGCGAAGCAGCAGGTGGGGAAGCAGCAGCCCCTGCGCTGCCTCATCTACATAGAAGTCGCCCTATCCGTGATGTCACCGACAGTGCCTTTCCCAGTCCCCGTCTGCCTTTCTGCCGCTCAGCCTACCAACCCGCTGCCGGAGCCGGCAGGGGGAAGTGACGTCTGTCTCTCCCTTTTTTCCCTCCCGCCCCGGCATCTGTTCTCGCCCGAAGAAGCTGGTCCTTAGCCTGCGCTGCGGAGCAACCTTTCAGTGGCCAGCTGGAGCCTGGGCACCGTTCTTCAAATAATGGCTTTTAATTCTCAGACGAGAACGTTTAGGATTACAAAAGAAACCGGTTCTCTTCACATCCTTATCCTTGTCATGTAGCATTCCGCTTGAAATTGGAAGCCGTTCAATGTCAGAGAGAAACCATATTTATGAAATGAAAGAGGCTTCTCAGATGACTGCAAACCAGCCTTCCTTACTGGTTTTATCACTGGTAATGTTATAAAGACAGTTGTCCAGTTTCATGAATCTTGTAGGTTTTTGTTTGTTTATTTGTTTGCTTTTGATGTTGTTGTTGTTGCTGTTGTTTTCCAAATTCAGTATTGTAGAAAAATATGCTGCCCCAGAAGAGATGATTGGACACTCTCCAGCGTGGTGTTGGACTTTGTCATCTCTTGCACAGCCATCTCCAGACCTTAGTGTTTACCTCACGTTAGTTTTTTATATTCTGCAAAGACAAAACCAAAATAATCCAAATTTGACACAAATACCTGGGATACATCTTATTTGAGATGTTTAACAAATGTCTGGATCATCTTTTCTTACATTGGATTATAACGCAGGAAACACTGTGAAGTAAGTAAAGTTGGAATTCCCAAGTCAAAGACCATTTGAATATTTACAAGTAGATTTGAGGCAGGAATAATACAGGGTGGCCGCAGGGTAACAAATTCTAGGCAGCAGATTTACATGACTTGAGGCTATGGGCTGATAAGACGCTGAAAAACCAGGGTGTGGACCAAGCTGGCTAAGACTGACTGGACCCAATGTGGTGCTAGATTTGAGGTAGGTTTTACCTAGGCCCTCATTATACACTTATTAACATACTAAATCACACACCCACCAGTGCCATGACAGTTCTGAGACCAATATGTGATGTAAAAATGGATGGCACCACAGTTCCGAGAAATCACCTTTACCCAGGAATTTTCACGAATATTCCACTCCTTGGTTAAAGAAACCCATTGAGATGAAACCCCAGAACCCATTGTTCTCTCTCGGGTATGCCCGAACTCCCCTTTCTTGAGTGTGTACTTTCTGCTTTGCAATACATCTCTTCTTTCACTATTTGCTGACTCATCCTTGACTTGGTTCTCGAGATGGTGTCAAGAGCCTGGACACCACAGCTGGGGTCGAGATCCCACCAGTGTCCGGGGACCTCCCCCAGCCCACCAGTATCAGATTCTATTCCATTGCTCAAATCACAAAACATTGAATGGAGAGGTCTCCTCTGGAGAGCATAAAGTAAAGATTCTGTGGCATGGTGGCCAGTTAGGCCACTGGAAGGCATGGCAAAATATTGAAAATGAGGGATTAGGTGACGGTATAGTAACTGCTGAATACTAAATACTTGATTCAGACCCCATTCCCTGGAGACTGACAGAGAGACACATCGTCCAGGTAGTAGTGGAGAAATACTTTCTGGGTATCTGACCAGCCTTCGTGGAAAGAACTGGCACCATCCTGCAGGTGCAACTGCCTGATGGGTTCTTCCTGCCCATTGTACATACAAAATCAATTCATGGAGACCATGGCATTGCAGTAAAGAGTTTAATTGACACAGGCCAGCCACGACATGTGGGGGACGGAGTTATTACTCAAAACGATCTCACTGAAGGCTTGGAGGTAAGGGTTTTTTCAAAGACAGTTTGGTGGGGAGGGGGCTAGGGCTTGGGCGGTGCTGATTGTTGGGGATGAAATCACAGGGGTGTGGAAAATGCCCTCCTGCATTGAGTCAGCTTCTGGGTGGGAGCTAAGGGACTGGTTGATTTGCGGGCCAAATGGTGACATCCAGTAGTCAGAAATGCAAAAGCCTGAAAAGGCATCTCAAGAGGCCAGTCTTAGGTTCTGCAATAGTGATGTTCTTCACAGCAGTAATTGGGGAAGCTGCAAATCTTGTGACCTCTGGAATAATGGCTGGTAATTATTTAACGAGGCATACATCTTAGTAGAATTCAGGTCCCTTTCATCCTCCTAACTTGGTGGCCTTTCATTAGTTTTACAGGGGTAATTTAGTTTTGGGGAAGGTTATCATTTAAACCCACCTTTCTGGCTGTCCCCAATGTTTTTGGCACCAGGGACTGGTTTCATGGAAGACAATTTTTCCATGGAAGGGGGTTTCCGGATGAAACTGTTCCACCTCAGGTCATCAGGCATTAGTTACAGTCTCATAAGGAGTGTGCAATCTGGATCCCTCACATGCGCAGTTCCCAACAGGGTCCAAGCTCCGACGAGAATCTAATGCCGATGCTGATCTGACAAGAGTCGGAGCTCAGGTGGTAATGCTCCAAAGCCTACAGCTCACCTCCTGCCGTTTGGCTGGGTTCCTAACAGGCCATGGACCAGTACCTGTCTTGTGGCCCTGGGGGTTGGGGACCCCTGATTTAAACTATAAACTCAACTTTTCCCAAAGATAGCTTGGGAGAAATTGCACAGGAATGAGCAAAGACAGCTAGCCTGTGAGGCTAGAACCAAAATGGAGTCAGCCATGTCAGATTTCTCTGATTGTCATAATTTTGCAAAAGTAGTTTCAGAGGGACTACCCTGACACCTGTTAAAAGCATGAGGCGGATTTTATTGTATGTACTGCAGTAGGCAAGAGAGACCAGCAGAGAACCGAGCTCAACTCCAAATACAGCAAGAAGGGTTGAAGATTTATAGCCAATCGGCAAGGTAAGAAAGTCAGTGGATGGAAAATTACTAAGAGGAACTTGATTAGCTATCAAAGGTGGTTGGTAGGACTCTTGCTAAACTAGGCTCGACGGTATTCTTTTCTAAAACTGGACTTGACAGGCCAAGAACTAATAGAGAAAAGGGCTCAGAGGAAACTGACTAAGGTTTGGTCAAAGATGGAGTCCTTGTCAACTCTACATTGAAGCTTCTGCAAATAAACGAAGACCAACCAAATGAAAAAAAGCAAAGGCTATTTATTCTGAGCTTGCTATGGCAGGGAGTCAGCCACTGTTACTTGTGTTTTGGCAGAGACTTGAAGGCAGTCAGAAGGGTGGAAAAGCTTTTTAAAAGGAAAGGCTTCAGGTATGCTTGGACTGGAGGCTGTCAGCATGGTGAAGCTATAGATAGACGAAAAAATCAAAATATTTTACCCCAGAATATATTTCTTTGGCATATTTTAAGATGGCTGTCAGAGAGCCAGCAAACAGAAGTAACTCTGCAAAACTGTCTTTTGTAGGGGAAATTTACACCTGCAGAGAATCTGCATTAATCCAGCCTTCCCTTGTCAGGATTGAGAAATAAAAATAAGCCCTAGGCCCTACAACCAACTGAACGGACTCCCCTCTTGGCTGACAGGACCACAGAGAAACCTTGAAAGCTGTTTCTGGCTGTGACAGGATAGGAGGTCGGACATGCCCCCCTTAAAACCCCTCCCTCGCTAACCGCCATTATGAGGCAGGAGAACAGCAGAGGGAGTTGGAAGTTGGATAAAAGGCAGAATGAGTAAAAGCAGAAACAGAAGCAAGGTGATGGGGTGGGAGAGCAAGAAGCAAGATAAAAGGCAGCAGTTGAGCGGCCAAAACAAAAAGTAAGATTAAAAAAAGCAAGCAAGGCCGGGCGCAGCCCCTCACCCCTGTAATTCCAGCAGTTTGGGAGGCCAAGGCAGGTGGATCGCCCGAGGTCAGGAGTTCGAGACCAGCCTGACCAATGTAGTGAAACCCCTTCTCTACTAAAAATACAAAAAAATAGCTGGGCATGGTGGTACACTCCTGTACTCCCAGCTACTCAGGAGGCTGAGACAGGAGAATTGCTTGAACCCAGGAGGCAGAGGTTGCAGTGAGCCAAGATCGTGCCACTGCACTCCAGACTGGGCAACAGAGCGAGACCCTGTCTTAAAAAAAAAAAAAAAGCAAGTAAGGACCCCATGGCCAGCAAGATCCAAACCAGGAAAGGGGCAGCTCTTCAGAGACAGGCATGTGCATTAGAGAGAAAAAGTATCCTTAACATGACTTCATATGATAATCAGCTCATTAAAGCTCATGCATACAGACTGCATATCATGCATGTACTTAAAATTATGGGATGGAAGCAGCATTCAAGCACACAAGGGCCAAAGTAACTAAGCAACCCACCTATCAATCAAAAGGCAAAGAGTGGCTAAAGATTAGGCATCCTTGGCCGGGCACAGTGGCTCACGCCTGTAATCCCAGCACTTTGCGAGACCAAGGCGGGCGGATCGTGAGGTCGGGAGATCGAGACCATCCTGGCTAACACGGTGAAACCACGTCTCTACTAAAAATACAAAAAAATTAGTCGGGCGTGGTGGCAGGCGCCTGTAGTCCCAGCTGCTGGGGAGGCTGAGGCAGGAGAATGGCATGAACCCGTGAGGCAGAGCTTGCAGTGAGCCAGGATCGTGCCACTGCACTCCAGCCTGGGTGACAGAGCGAGACTCCGCCTCATCAAACAAACAAACAAACAAACAAACAAACAAACAAACACAGTAGGCATCCTTGTGAAGAGAAGGAAAAACACACACACAAACACAAAAGACCCCAAGTACACCAAACTAATACTGATCTCATCTCCCAGAGGTCAGCCCACCCTCCCCACTCTGAGAGTGTTACTGTGCTTAATAAACTTTTGCTTTGCTTTGCTGCTTTGTGTGTGTCATGTACAGTTCTTTGTTTGGGACACCAAGAGCCTGGAACTGCACGGCACCAGCTGGTAAGAATTAGGCTTTTTTGGCCGGGCGCGGTGGCTTATGCCTGTAATCCCAGCACTTTGCGAGGCCAAGGCGGGCGGATCACGAGGTCAGGAAATCGAGACCATCCTGGCTAACACGGTAGAACCCCATCTCTACTAAAAATAAAAAAAATTAGCCGGGCGTGGTGGCGGGCGCCTGTAGTCCCAGCTACTCGGGAGGCTGAGGCAGGAGAATGGCCTGAACCCGGGAGGCGGAGCTTGCAGTGAGCCGAGATCGCGCCACTGCACTCCAGCCTGGGCAACAGAGAGAGACTCCGTCTCAAAAAAAAAAAAAAAAAAAAAAAGAATTAGGCTTTTTTTTTCCCTAAGGGTTAACAACAAACCAGCCCTTTGGAAAGACTTGCTTCACCACTGTTACCAACCAACGGCCTGATGCTTTTCCTCAGTTTTGTGATGTTGACAAAACAAGCAAGCAGCATTCCCTCCTGATAAGAGACCACCGACCTAGGAATGATTCTGGCCAGACTAGAGAGGATGCACAGTGAGGGTTTTCATGTCCTCTGCTTCAGCTTTTGATGTCAGAGGGCCACAATCTCCACTCTCAGATGATTGCTAATGCCACCATTTTATGAACATGGGCCCCATGGAGAGGCACGAAGCTCAATTGCACTTCTGCACATTTTTCCTCCTATAAATATTGCTATTGGAATATTATTTGGTACGGCTCCCGTGAAAGATACATTTGCAGAATGTACTCAAATTAGAAGCATCATGTAAACCCTATAATGTAGCAATAGTGCATCAACTTCCCTACACTATAGAAATATCTGCGGTGTAGACATTTCCACAATGACCAAAGACATGTGTACAAGAAAGGTGGCTGCAGCATTCTTTGTAATCCTAAAACAATGAAACCTACCTCATCTCAAAAACTTTATTTTTTTATTTTTATTTTTTTTTTGAGATGGAGTCTCGCTCTGTTGCCCAGGCGGGAGTGTAGTGGTGCAGCCTCCACTGGTGCAGCCTCCACTGCAGCCTCCACCTCCCAGGTTCAAATGATTCTCCTGCCTCAGAATCCCAAGTACCTGGGATTACAGGCACATGCCCCCATGCCTGGCTAACAAAAACATTTTGAAAAGGGTTAAATAAATCATGCACAAACTGAGGAAAAATACTCTTTTTCAAAAATGATGGAGAGGATCACTATGATGATGAATGATTCCACTGGTCACATTATTGATAGAGCAATCAGTAAATCCAGGCACATCCTCGGGATATTACTGACCTCCTATTATTAACATATGAAAAAATGAAGGCATGTAAATTACTCGTTTAAGCGTATAACGGACTGAATTAGAATTTTATCACACCAGAAGTGGGTTCCTAGGTCTCTGTTTCAGGATTCCTGAGTTACACACGTATAAACCCAGGATTTCAGGAGATACCCGGTTAAGAATCCGGTTGGGGAGGTGGGCTGGCCCTTGACATGGATAAGTCACAAATTAGTGGCTTAGGACTCCAGGAAGATAAAATCTTCCCCATTTATCTAGTGATTGACAATGCATGAATACTTTAAAAGCTCAAACAAGCGTCCCTGGGTGGGCTCGAACCACCAACCTTTCGGTTAACAGCCGAACGCGCTAACCGATTGCGCCACAGAGACAGGTACTGTCAGTTCTACTGGGCGCTATAGGAAGGGCGCACGCACGAAACTTCCTCCGTCCCTTGCATCCTCAGGGCCCGCCCGGCAGGACGACTGAGCAGGCCTTGGAAGACCGGAGAGATTGGAGCGGTAAGTCGCGCTGGTCACGTTGGACACCTGCGCGTTGGGAGATTCTGGAGCCAGAAGGATAGCCGAATGGCCTTCGCCCGCCCTGCCCCTCACCTGCTTCAGAAACCCCCGGAAACGCCCCGGTTGAGACCCCGGCCCGAACCGCCTGGGGGCCCTAGGGAGGCTGAACGCCCGGTGGCTCCCGGGATGGCTCTTCCCGTTCTTTGCGCCGCCTTCACCCAGTGAGGGAGCCTGTGCCCTCCCTGCCCAGTCGCTTTTGGGGCCGCTGCGGAGCTTCCGCTGCCATCTTCGGATCCTGTGTTCCGCACGGGGGCTCCACCAGGGCAGGGATCGTGGTGAGGGTGGCTCGTGGGTCCCCCTCGCGGGGAGCAGGGTCTGGCACTCACCAGGGCGCAGGACTAGGACTTGTCGAATGAATCCATCCTTTTAGCTTTTAGTCCTTTGAAGAGCCTTGAGAAGAAATCATGAGAGATTTTTCCATGGGGAAGTTCCTTTTACAAAGCATTTATTTACGTGGACTTCTTGGCACCCCGCGGGGCGGCAACGGGCAGGGCCTCCAGTGCCCCTTCTGCGCCGTGGAGCCGCGGGGGCTCAGCTGGGCGGTGGTCGGGTCCTGAGGCCGGAGGGCGGGAGCAGGGGAGGGGAAAAGCAAAAGCGGGGAAAGAAGCCGGGGAGCGGTGGACCAGACGTCCAGACCTCCTGAAAGGCTGGCGGGGAGGCACAGGCGGGATCTTCCGGAGGTGAGAATTTTTTTTTATTATAGCAGAATGGGGAGGAATTGAGGGGAAAATGGAGATAGAACCTGAAAGAGCCCCAAACGCCAGAACCTGTAGCTCCCCAAGAATAAGATCTTCCAGAAGAACTAGACCCAAAACTAGCCGTTGGGGAACACCGAAATCCTTGGAGGAGCAACATCCGCATGACCCTCTGTGTTCCTTTAGGCAAAAGGACTTGCTTCCATTGTTTGTTCAATTGTTTGTGTTTGTTAAATAAATAAAACGATTTTCATGTATCTTTGAAATTACTTTGGCGCTACTATTTTATGATTGCAAATAATTCGGCAGTGATCATTCTTGTACACTTCTCATTGGCCATTTGTGTATTTCTATAGGGTAGAGGCCTGGAGAGCAGTTGCTCCAGCATAGGGATTACACAGTTTTTGTTTGTTTGTTTGTTTGTTTATTTATTTATTTATTTATTTATTTTTGAGACAGAGTCTCGCTCTGTCACCCAGGCTGGAGTGCAGTGGCGCCATCTCAGCTCTCACTGCAACCTCCGCCTCCCGGGTTCAAGCGAATCTCCTGCTTCAGCCTCCCAAGTAGCTGAGATTACAGGTCCGCGCGAGCCACCACATCGGGCTAATTTTTGTATTTTTAGTAGAGACGGGGTTTCATCGTTTTGGCCAGGCCGGTCTCAAACTCCTGACCTCAAGTGATCTGCCTGCCTTGGCCTCTCAAAGTGCTGGGATTACAGGCATGAGCCACCGCACCCAGCGATTACATGTTTTTTTTTTATATATCATTCTATTTTCTTTCCTTATTTGGCTTATTAGCTGTAACTCTTTCTTTTGTTATGTCAGTGATGGCTTTAGGGTCCCTAGAATACATCTTTATCCGTCTGCCATCAAGTGACATTATACCTCCCCTTCTGGCCTTTATGTTAGTGTTGTCAGGGAATTTGATTTTGGACATGTTATAAACCCCAACATCCAAGTACGTACATAGCGATTTTCAGTCGTCTCCATTTCTTTGTGTAGGTTCAGATTTCTGTTTGGTATCCTTATCCTTAGGCCTGGAGGACTCCTTTAATATTTCTTGTAGTGTGGTTCGGTGAATTCTGTCATTTTTTTGTATGTCTTTAAATGTCCTGATTTCAGTCACATTTTTGAAAGATATTTCAATTTGGCATAGAATTCTAGAATAACTTTTTTTCTCTCAGTACTTTAGGATGTTGCCACTTTGACGCTTTGTCATTGACATATCTTTCCTGTTTTTGTAAACTTGGCATAAAGTGGGTTTCCTGTACTTGTTATATGATTTTTGGATTGTGTATTCAAATTAAAAGTATTAAATTAAAATTAAAATGGCCTGGGCGAGGTGGCTCACACCTGTAATCCCAGCACTTTGGGAAGGGGAGGCAGAGGATCGCTTGAGACCCAGAGTTGGAGACCACCCTGGGCAAGATAGCAAGACCCTGTGTGTGTGTGTGTGTGTGTGTGTGTGTGTGTGTGTGTGTGTGTGTATACACATAAATATGTATATATATTATATGTATGTATGTATATATAAGTCCTACAGTCACCTTAAGTTCCACCAACAGTGCACTTAAAGTAAAATGTGCCCAACCTGAGGCTCAAACCTACCTGCTGGCACGCAATTTGTGTTTGTGAGACAATCTCAACAGCATTTGCTTTTTCTAGCGTAGTGGTTTTCCTGTTTTCCTCACATGTGAATGTCTTCAGTGCAAAACCTGTCAGAATTCATTTCCTTTGCTAAAATGTTTTAAAATAACTCTTACTTCAAGTAAGTGCATTAAAAACAAACTTCTCAGTTGCATCCCTGGAATCCATGGAAAGTCCAGGAGAGACAATCAAGTGCTACAGGATCAAGCCCAAACAGAACAGGACTAGGCATGGCTTCCTCACTAGGAGTCAGGCCAAAGTCATCTCCTTTGGTCTCCAATGGAGGCCAGAACTCGGTTCACCTGCAACGGGAGGACCTGGCCCAGAAGAGGTGGCCTTCATCTTCATGGTGCCTTCAGATAGGAAATCTAGGATTTCTTTTCTTCTCTTTGATCTACTTCCAACTCTCCCTTTTTATTTATTTATTTATTTATTTATTTATTTATTTATTTATTTGAGACAGAGTCTTGCTGTGTTGCCCAGGCTAGAGTGCAGCGGGGCAGTCTCAGCTCACTGCAACCTCCGCCTCCTGGGTTCTAGAGATTCTCCTGCCTCAGCCTCCTGAGTAGCTGGGATTACAGGCGCCCGTCACCGCGCCCAGCTACTTGTATTTTTAGTAGAGACAGGGTTTCACCATCTTGGCCAGGCTGGTCTCGAACTCGTGACCTCGTGATCCACCCACCTCGGCCTCCCAAAGTGCTGGGATTACAGGCGTGAGCCACCGCATCTGGCCCTCCCTTTCTATTTCTTCAAGACCTTTTTCGGATCCCTCCTGCGCAGGACCTAAACGGGCGGTGCCCTTACCCACTGGTCCCTCCCTGCCTGCTGTCTTCGGAGCCCTAGCTCACCCGGAACGTTACTGCCCGCCGGTGACAGCGAGAGGACCAAAGAGGGCAGCGGGTGCGGTGGGAACCACAGAGTCACCGCGCACCTGCGCCTCGCGGGCTCCTCGCAAATTGAATAAACGCCCCCTGAAGCTTCTCTTCAAGTCACAGGGAAGGGGAAGGTGGCTGCCGACCCGGCGGGAGAAGCCGGCCCTGCCCCTGGTCCTTGAAGACAGGTTTGGCCAGGCTGATTTTGACTGGTAGGCTCAAAGAAAAGCCTCAAGGGCAGACCAAACTCCGACAGGCTCCGAGATTAAGGCTTTCAAACGTCTGATCGTTTTCAGCTTGGTCAGTAAAATCGATCCCGCCTTTATCAGGAGATTCCTTTGCCAAAGTTCAGAGACCTGGGGTTCCCGCTGCTTGCCACACAGAAAACCGATCACTGAGACGGTTATTGCCAAGGAAGAGGCTTTAATAGGGTGCTGCAGCGGAGGAGATGAGAACTCAGTCTCAAATCCATCTCCCTGACCAACCAAAACTAGAGGCTTAGATGGCAGGGAAAGAATGTGACAATGTGTAAGAAAACAGGAACTAGACCAGGCGCGGTGGCTCACGCCTGTAATCCCAGCACTTTGGGAGGCCGAGGCGGGCGGATCACGAGGTCAGGAGATCGAGACCATCCTGGCTAACATGGTGAAACCCCGTCTCTACTAGAAATACGAAAAGAAATTAGCCGGGCGTGGTGGCGGGCGCCTGTAGTCCCAGCTACTCGGGAGGCTGAGGCAGGAGAATGGCGTGAACCCGGGAGGCGGAGCTTGCAGTGAGCCAAGATAGCGCCACTGCACTCCAGCCTGGGAGGCAGAGGGAGACTCTGTCGCAAAAAGAAAAAAAAAAAAAAAAAAAGAAAGAAAAGAAAGAAAACAGGAACTAGGGAGGGGCAAGGAAGCAATCAGGATGAATGAGGGGTCCGGCATCTCATTGTCTGGGTGACTTTCAGTTCTTTGATATCTTTTTTGAGAGGCCTGAAGGAAGGAACTCAAATAAAACAAATATCGAGTTTCAAACTTTCAGATCAGAAGGGTCCAATTCTATGTTTATCCAAAAATCTACGTATGGGACTATTGGGTGGGTTTCAGACCAAGAAAGAGTGTGCATATCAAAGTCTGCGGTTAACCAAAGAGAAAACATAATTTTCCGACCAATAGGATGTATGGGGGTCAAAGAACGACCAGCCTACAGTACTGTTTATTGGCCTGAGCATACGGAAGGATGAAGTTGCACCAGCGAAATGGGATTAAGCTGCAGGTGCGGGCTGGGCGCGGTAGCTCACACCTGTAATCCCAGCACTCTGGGAGGCTGAGGTGGGTGGATCACTTGAGATCAGGAGTTTGAGACCAGCCTGACCAACATGGTGAAACCTCGTCTCTAATAAAAATACAAAAATTAGCCGGGCGTCATGGCGGGCACCGGTAGTCCCAGCTACTAGGGAGGCTGAGGCAGGAGAATCATTTATTAGTAAGGTCATTTATTAGTAAGGAACAGAAGCAAGCACCAAGATTTAAGGCAGGAAGGGATAGGCTAACTCTACTGCTTTGTGCAAATGTAGTCGGGTTTATGATCAGGGCTGCCCTTAACTATAAAGCTGCTAACCCCTGAGTCTTGAAAGGGAAAAGAGAAACACTAGTTGCCAGTCTTTTGGTTGTACAACAAGAAGGCCTGGACTATGAGAATGCTTTTTCTGGATTAGTTCCATCAATGCTTTGTCCCTGAAGTCAGAAGTACCTTGCCAATAAGGGACTGCTTTTTAAAGTTTTTTGTTGTTGTTGTTGTTTAATTGGAAAATGCCCCCTGGCCACCCAGAACCCCATGAGTTCAACACCAAAGGCACTGAAGTGTTCTCCTTTCCCCCCAAACACATCTCTACTTCAGCTTCTAGATAAGGGAGTCATAAGGACCTTTAAGGCTCTACATATGGCACTCTATGGAAAGATTTGTCAACATTCCAAAAGAGAAACCCAATAGAGAGAACATCATGGAAGTCTGGGAGGCTTACACCTTTCAAGATGTCATCAGTTGATATAGAAAACCATGAAACTCAAAACAATAAATTCCTGCTGGACAAAAGTACAATTTGTGTCCAGATGTTGTGCATAGCTACAGAATTACGACAAACCCAATTTAGAGAAAACCATGGAAAGAAGTATGGATATGAAGGGAAAAAAAGGTGTGGAGTGAAGGGTTGTAAGATATGGATCTTGGAGGAATTTAAGAGCTAATACACACCACACCAGAGGAATTAACAAAAGATGACTTCATGGAGATGAGTGCTTCCTAACCAGTGCCAGATAATGAGGAAGAAGACATAGGAAAAGCAGTGCCAGAAAACAAATTGGCATTCAACAATCTGGCAAAAGAACTTTGATTATTCAAGACTACTTTTGACTTCTTTTATGACATAGACCGTTCCATGATACAGGAACTGAAACTAAAGCAAATGGTGGAAGACGGATAGGTACTACACTGAAATGTTTTTAGAGAAATGAAAAAGCAAAATAGACAGAAATAATGATGTATTTTTGTAAAGTCTCACCAAGTGTGCTTGCCTCTTTTGCTTCCCCTTCCATCCCTTCACCCTCTTCCACCTCTGCTACCCTAAGACACAAAGACCAGCTCCTCCTCCTCCTCCTCTGCCTACTCAACATGAACACAACAATGATGAAGACCTTTAGGATGATCCACTTCCACTTAATGAATGGGTCATATATTTTCTCTTCCTTACAATTTTCTTGACTATAATTTCTTTTCTGTAGCTTAGTTTATTGTAAGAATACAGTATATAATACACATAGCATGCAAAATATGTCTTAAATGTAACGCATGTTATCAGTAAGCCTTCTGGTCAACAATAGGTTATTAGTAGTTTGGGGGGAATCAAAATTTGTATGCAGATTTTTCACTGTGTGGGAGGCCAGCTCCCCTAACCCTATATTGTTCAAGGGGCAACAATATTCTTTCTCACTGGCACTTTACTTTCCATAAATTCAAATCCCAAAAGTAGAACTGCAAGTTCAAAAGGATTTTTAAAAAAATAATTACTGTCAGATTACAGAAAGTTTCCAATTTACATTTTCACTACCAATGTACAATGTTGGCATCCCTGAATCCTTATCAGCAATGAATTTTTAAATATACTATAAGAGATGAAAAAATTTTTTTAAAATTTGGAATTCCCTGATCACTAATGAAGTTAAGCATCAATATTATTCCTTTAATATGCAAATGCTGAAAATACATTTAACTATAATAGATGTCAAAAATCTGTAAATCAGGCTAGGTGTGGTAGGCACTCACCTGTATTCCCAGCCACTGGGAGACTTGAGTCCAGGAGTTCCAGACTGTAGTATGCAATGATCAAGCCTGTGAATAGCCACTGCACTCCAGCATGGACAACATAGCAAGACCCCATCTTTTTTTAAAGAAAAGAGTCTATAAGACAAAGGTCCTCATAAATTAAGAGAAGCCAAGACAGTCACTGTGACTGCAGAATATTTTAATTTTTTTTTATTATACTTTAAGTTCTAGGGTACATGTGAACAACGTGCAGGTTTGTTACATATGTATACATGTGCCATGTTGGTGTGCTGCACCCATTAACTCATCTTTTACATTAGGTATATCTCCTAATGCTATCCCTCCCCCAGCCCCCCACCACAGAGCAGGCCCCAGTGTGTGATGTTCCCTTTCCTGTATCCATGTGTTCTCATTGTTCAATTCCCACCTGTGAGTGAGAACATGCGGTGTTTGGTTTTTTGTCCTTGTGATAGTTTGCTGAGAATGATGGTTTCCAGCTTCATCCATGTCCCTACAAAGGACATGAACTCATCCTTTTTTATGGCTGCATAGTATTCCATGGTGTATATGTGCCACATTTTCTTAATACAGTCTATCATTGTTGGACATTTGGGTTGGTTCCAAGTCTTTGCTATTGTGAATAGTGCCGCAATAAACATACGTGTGCGTGTGTCTTTATAGCAGCATGATTTATAATCCTTTGGGTATATACCCAGTAATGGGATGGCTGGGTCAAATGGTATTTCTAGTTCTAGTTCCTTGAGGAATCACCACACTGTCTTCCACAATGATTTAACCAGTTTACAGTCCCACCAACAGTGTGAAAGTGTTCCTATTTCTCCACATCCTCTCCAGCACCTGTTGTTTCCTGACTTTTTAATGATCGCCATTCTAACTGGTGTGAGATGGTATCTCATTGTGGTTTTGATTTGCATTTCTCTGATGGCCAATGATGATGAGCATTTTTTCATGTGTCTGTTGGCTGCATAAATGTCTTCTTTTGAGAAGTGTCTGTTCATATACTTCGCCCACTTGTTGATGGGGTTGTTTGTTTTTTCTTGTAAATTTGTTTGAGTTCATTGTAGATTCTGGATATTAGCCCTTTGTCAGATGAGTAGATTGCAAAAATGTTCTCCCATTCTGTAGGCTGCCTGTTCACTCTGATGGTAGTTTCTTTTGCTGTGTAGGAGCCCTTTAGTTTAATTAGATCCCATTTGTCAATTTTGGCTTTTATTGCCATTGCTTTCAGTGTTTTAGACATGAAGTCCTTGCCATGCCTGTGTCCTGAATGGTATTGCCTAGGTTTTCTTCTAGGGTTTTTATGGTTTTAGGTCTAACATGTAAGTCTTTAATCCATCTTGAATTAATTTTTGTATAAGGTGTAAGGAAGGGACCCAGTTTCAGCTTTCTACATATGGCTAGCCAGTTTTCCCAGCACCATTTATTAAACAGGGAATCCTTTCCCCATTTCTTGCTTTTGTCAGGTTTGTCAAAGATCAGATGGTTGTAGATGTGTGGTGTTATTTCTGAGGGCTCTGTTCTGTTCCATTGGTCTATATCTCTGTTTTGGTACAAGTACCATGCTGTTTTGGTTATTGTAGCCTCATAGTCTAGTTTGAAGTCAGGTAGCGTGATGCCTCCAGCTTTGTTCTTTTTGCTTAGGATTGACTTGGCAATGCGGACTCTTTTTTGTTTCCGTGTGAACTTTAAAGTAGTTTTTTTCCAATTCTGTAAAGAAAGTCATTGGTAGCTTGATGGGGATGGCATTGAATCTATAAATTACCTTGGGCAGTATGGCCATTTTCACGATATTGATTCTTCCTATCCATGAGCATGGAATGTTCTTCCATTTGTTTGTGTCCTCTTTTATTTCCTTGAGCAGTGGTTTGTAGTTCTCCTTGAATAGGTCCTTCACATCCCTTGTAAGTTGGGTTCCTAGGTATTATTTCAAATATTATTGTAAAACAATGAGATATTGAAACATACATTGGAGCAAACTCTTCTTCATTTTTAAATCCTTTCAGCACAGAGACAATCAACTGACTGTCTGGGTACTACCTGACCACTATTGGAGTCTCTTTCATCTGCCTGAGTCTGTGCAACAATATGAAATTATAATTTTACTATGCACCTAAACGTTCCTCAATATATTGAATTCTTACAGAATTTGAAGAGTCAAATTTTGTAAATCCAGTTACCTTTTTCCACTACTCTAGGCCTCATATACTATCTGGCCTAAGGGTTAAAGGTCCACAATTGAATAAGCCAAACTTGTTAATTTGAAGGTAAAGCATGTCAAGAAATCTGGCCTTAATGTCCAATGAACTTATGTCATATTAAGTAGCTGGATAGAAACATGCATTCCAAAGTGGATACTGTTTATCAGGCTCAGTGCTCTATTCTTGATGGTAAATCCCAGAATAGGGTGGATGCTTTAATTTTGTATTAAATAGTATTAGGTGTAATATCAAAACCACTAAGGGAACACTAATGATGAGAATAGGAACACTAGCTGTGGAGCTGGTAACTTTCTATAGAAATCCTATCTCTTTCAATTGCCTGTTTAGTGGGCAAGTGTTTCAGTTCCTATAATATCTAAATTGGAGAAAATCACCCCACCTACTTCTTCAGGTGTTATGATAATTATGAGGGATAACATCTTTTTAAGTGTTTAACACAATTCCTCACACATAGAAAGCAATAATAAACATTGGCTAGCATTGTAAGGATGGATTATTGTCTTCCAATGTGTTTTCATACATTTTCTTTCTGGGATCTTGAGTGAAACATGTGGATCTAGAACAAGAACAAAATGATGTTACCTTGATGATCTCTATGTAGGGTCACACTCAAGGCATCTTAAAATATTTTGCTGGCCAACAAAAGACACCTCCTGTTCTAATTGGGCATTGTCCTTTTCTTTAAACTATGCAGACAAACAATATTATAAAGTGAGAACATCCGCATAAAAAACCTAAACATAAATCTTAATAGTGAGTTCATGAAAATTCTTACTGATGAAATGGCAATGTCACAGACTGACTGTTTATGTCCCCCCAAATTTGTATATTGAAATCCTAACCCCCAAGCTACTCGTGTTAGGAGATAGAGCCTTGGGGAGGTGATTAGGCCATGAGGACAAGATTCTCATGAATGGAATTTGTGCCCTTATAAAAGAGATCCCAGAGAGCTCATTGGCCCCTTCCAAAGTATGGGGATACAGCAGGAAGTTGCCATCTATGAGCCAGAAGGGTGAACCTCACCCCAGATGCTGAATCTGCCTTGATATTGGACTTCCCAGCCTGCACAACTGTAAGAAATTTCTGTTGTTTATAAGTTACTCAGCTTGTGGTATTTTGTTACAGCAGCCTACACAGACTAAGACAAGTAGCATTTTGAGGATTAAAATTTCTTCATAAATGAATAGAGTATGCCCTGTTAAACCATATTCTCAGCTAACCCCGTTTACTCACTGTTCCTCTTTATTTTAGTTTCACATTTTTGCTATTTATCTCTGTAATTTTATTCATTCTTCACAATTTGCCATTCTTATACTTCGAATCATGTTATCAGTTTATAATACCTCCATCAAATGATAGTCTGCATTTGTTTATCCTTGGCTGATTCAAAACACTTGGCATAATTTCCTTAAAGGAAATCATCTTCATCCCACCTCACAACACTGTATTATTTTCAATTAATTTCCAATAAACTCTTAATTGTCCATGCTCTGTCAGAGTTGGCAGAGTTAATCCCTGTTTAAGCTAATAGGTTCAACTTCTTCAACAAACAAATCTTTCATGAAAGCTGCTGACAAGCCAGAGTATTAATTAAATCTAGTTTCATTGCTTCTCACTTTCCTTGATCCTTCTCTCTTGTTCTTTGGGAAACAGTCACAGAGTTCTGGCGCTAATAAATACTATAAAAAGTAGGAAATACAGTCTAAAGAAGCAGAATATTCTGTTTAAAGTTGATGTGGTGCTTTTTGTGCACCAAGCATTGGCTCAAAAGCCTGAAAATTAGGCAGCAATACTTCCTAAGCTCATCTTCAACCATAAGGCAGAAAAGCCAAACATATCTGAAAATATAATATCACTGGTACCTTATACCAGCACTAAGAATAAGAAAACCCTGGAAAGTGGCTCGAGTACAGTATTTTTCTATTGGAATTAATTTTTCAAAATGGAAAGGACTTCATTGTTATTTTTATTATAAAATTAGTATATGTTTATTATTAAAAATAAGTACAAAAATCTCTAAAAGAAAAAGGGAAAAATTACCAGCAGTTCCACATTCCAGATATCATCACTGTTAGCATTTAGGATACAAATATCCAAACACTTTTTCTATCAATACATTTAATTTTTAAATTTGACCATTACGCAATGTACACATGCACTAAAGCACCACACTGTACCCCATAAACATGTGCAATTATTATGTCAATTAAAAACAAAATAAAAGCATTTTACAAAAAATCATGTTATTTTTAATAACTTGTTTTTCTAATTTTATACACCATAAAATAAATGTCTTTACATGACATTTATTTTATGATAATAACTAATTTATTCATTTAAACAGCAAGGTACATTTCATTCTACAGATATACTATATAATATTTACTCCGATCTCTGGATGAGAATTTATGTTGCCTGTAAATATTGTATCACAAACATTATAAGAATAATCTCTGTAAAGGTTTCCTTCCTGAATTATTATTTGGGTAGAAAAATTACTAGAAATAGAATAACTGGGTCAAAGATTAAAGACAATTTAAATTTCAATATATAGAATCAAATTATTCTCCAAAATATTGTACTCTACAGTATTTGAATTTTGATTTTTTTCTCCATTTTCACTACTGCCAATAACTTTAATCTTTGTCGATAAATGAGACAAAAAAGACAAATAATGCAATATTATACAAGGGAGATTAATAGGTAGAAAAAGAAATGCAATGGCCAGGAGTAACAGAAGATGTTCAACATCAATCCAATCAAATTAATGCGTCTTTAAAATGCAATAGCAGTCAATGTTAGCAAGAGTGTAGGTATTAGACATTCTCATAGGAATATAAACTAGGGCCATGTTTTAGGATCATATTAGATCGCAGCAATTAAAAAATGTTAAATTCATATGTTGTATAGCAACTTCTCAGGTTGGAATTTATCACATGGAGAATCTTGTAAAATACATAAACCAAGATATGTTATTAATGTTATTGGTAGCCTATTGTTTTAATAAAAAATATATTTATACAATACAGTTGTTAAAAGTTAAGAATATCTTGAAGGTAAATTATTAAACAAAAATAGAATGCCTAGGCCAGGCAAGACTTCATCTCATGCTTATAATCCCAACACTTTTGGAGACTGAGGTGGGAGGATTGCTTGAGCCCAGGAGTTTGAGACCAACCTGGGCAACACAGTGAGACCTCATCTCTAGAAAAAAAAAATACAAAGCCTAGTTCTGAACATCCTTTTGTGTAATACTAAAAGATAAAATTTTATTTTCTACCTTGTTTAAGATCTATATTCTATACGGGGGATGTGTATTAAGGTCATTTTTAAAAAGATACTCAAGAAATTGTCAACAGTGATTATCTTAAGGAGAGATTCTAGATGTCTGGGGGTAAGAGACAGGAGGAAAGAGAATTTTATATTTCATTTTTACCTTTATTTAACTTTTTGATTTTCTTACTGGGTGCATGAATTATATTTTTATGTCAGCATGTTTTATCAGATAAATAAAATTATGAGCTATTTCTGTTTTCTCTCATTTGTTTTATGTTTAAATAAAGGAAAATGAGATATGTCTTTTTAAATTAGATAATCTTGAGTCCATGATTATTATGAAAGCCCTCTGTTATCTTTTTCCTTCCTTTCACAATGACTATTTATGTTGTAGAATCATTAATTTCTCAAGACAAATGTCTTAGAAGGTAGATACAAAAAAATGGTATACATTTTTTGATTCAAGCTAATTTCATGTTACGAACAAAATTACGTAATGTCATTTCTAAGACCTTTCTGTGATCTATCAATCCACTAGGTTAAAGAGCAGAAATCACTTCCAAAACAAATCCTTTTGCAGTCAGCAAAATGAAGCAATTATATGAATAAGTTTTTCCACTTGGCCTATTTTTCTACCCATGGTTATTAATCAGTCTCACTGACTACATTTTCCGTTTTACATCCCCTTTCAGGCACTACTGCAGATGGCCAAGCATATCACATTATGTAAATAAAATAAAACAAAATCTTTTCCCATTGAGCAAATGGATATACTTCACCTCTAATGCTTCCAGTCTTTCTCAGATCATTCAAAAAGCATGATATGGTTTCCATGAAAGGACATTCATCCCATTTGACTAACTGGAATTTCTTTACTCCAGCTAATCTTTACCAAAGAGCTGAATTAATTCAAGTTGACACCCTGTTATCTACCAGCTCTTCCAGCCCTTTTGCTTGATTGTTTTGTCATTTTGCCTTTTCTTTTCTTCTAAAGTGGGAGTATGGAGATTTACCCTTCTGAAACAGCTGTGTCACATCATGATCCTTGAGAATATCAGCTCTTAACTGGCTGCACATCAAAATCACTGTTTCCTTTGACCAATACTCTAGACACACTCAAGCAGAGATTCTGGATTCTGATTTAATTGACACAGAGTAGGGCCTGGGCATTTTTACAGCTCCCCACATGATTCTATTGTGCCTCATCTATCCTAGCCCTTAAGCAGGACCAAACATTTGTTCTATCTTAATTATTATTCTCTTAAACTTAGTCCAATTCCTTACAACTGATAGCTTTCTATATACTCATCTGCCTTGAGTGATGACAATTGATATGGTTTGGCTGTGTCCACACCCAATCTCATCTTGTAGCTCCCATAATTCCCACATGTTGTGGGAGGGGCCCAGTGGGAGATAACTGAATCATGAGGATGGGTCTTTCCTGTGCTGTTCTTGGGTTAGTGAGTAAGTCTCATGAGATCTGATCATTTTTAAAATGGGAGTTTCCCTGCACAAGCTGTCTCTTTGCCTGCTGCCATCCATGTAAGATGTGACTTGCTCCTCTTTGTCCTCCACCATGATTGTGAGGCCTCCCCACCCATGTGGAACTGTAAGTCCATTAAACCTCTTTCTTTTGTAAATTGCCCGGTCTCAGGTATGTCTTTATCAGCAGCATGAAAACAGATGAATACAACAATACTGTAACAAATCGACTCACATCTGTTCTCTTTATAGGAATTGCAGTGCTACAATATTAGTGGCTCTTAATTCTAAGAGTGTTAAAAAATATTAATGCTTGTCTCACCCCTAAAGTCTAGGGTGTGACCTGAGTATTAGGTTATTTAAAACTTTTCTCAGGTAATAGACATGTGCAGCCAAGGTTGAGAACCACTCTATAGGGCCAAGATATGTAAGAAAATTCAAGTCCTTTAGCTGGGCGTGGTGGCACACAGCTGTAGCCCCAGGTACTCTGGAAGCTGAGGTGGGAGGATTGCTTGAGCCCAGGACAGAGAGGCTGCATTAAGCTATGATCACATCACTGCACTCTAGCCTGGGTGACAAAGTGAGATCATGTCAAAAAAAAAAGAAAAAGAAAGGAGAAAGAAAGGAAGAAGAGGAAGGAAGGAAGGAAGGAAGGAAGGAAAAGAAGAAAGAAAGAAGAAAGAAAGGAACAAAGAAAGAAAGAAAGAAGAGAAAAAGAGAGAGAGGAAGAAAGAAAGAGAGAAAGAAAGAAAAGAAAAAGGAAGGAAAGAAAGGAAGAAAGAAAGAAAAAGAGAGAAAGAAGAAAGAAGAAAAGGAAAGAAAGAAAGAGAGAGAGAAAGAAGGAAAAGAACGAAAATTCAAGTCCTGCCTTGTAAAATGCAGTACTCCATTTTCCCAAAGAGATCCCAAGGGAAACTTAACTACAGGATAAAGACAGACAAAAGGACATAAATTACAACTACTCTAGGTTCACATATTATTTTGTTTCTGAAATGGGTTTTAAAATATCTATGTCAGAGTTCATTTCTAGAACTTTATCTCTAGAAAACATATTTTCACTTCTCAATACAGGAAAATGGAGATTGGAAAAATGAGTTTGGAAAATGATTTCCATGCTTATCTCTCAGCTTCTTTTTTCAACTTCCCTTTTTCATCTCCGTATCTTCACTGATACCTAGGAATCTCTGTTACATCACAGTCTTCAAGAGCTTTGCTCACAGCGAATTAGTTAAGACATTAGCTTTCAAAAGTATATGATATTCTCTCACAAGCATTTGTCTACTTTTAATAGGGCAAGCTACGTAAAGATGTTAAATCTCATTCCAGAAATACCACATCTATTCTACCTATTTATGAGAACAGTCGTCTCTAGACCAAGATAGAAATTCATAGTTAGGAAATAAATCCCTGTAGGGTTTTTCCACAGTCCCAATATGTCCCCTACTGTCCCGATTTTAGCAACAAAAATCCCCCATCCAGAAAATCCTTCATTCCTGAGTAAGTTGAAAGATTGGTCACCCTATTTCTATCTGTGTCTCTTTCTTTCATAATTGGCTCATAATCATAGCAGTCACAATTTTGAAAAATGTTATTTTACTGAATTACTCATTGCTGTTTTCTCATTTTTTAAATAATAAACACTTATTAAGAAACATTGGAAATATACCAAAAATAGTAAACAATAAAACAGAAACCATTGGCAGAAATAGTCACTATTAAAATCTTAATATACTCCCTTCCAATGTTGTTTCTGTTAATGCAAATTAAAAAATCAGAGATTCGCCTCTGTGAACTAGATCTCTTTTTACCTTTAGATATTATTTGACAAATACATAGCTCAATCATCTATCCAAACTTCTCTTTTACAGACTCCATGCCAATTAACCTTCTCCTATGAAACTATTATTTCTTCACATAGGATAAATATGGTTATTGACACACAAACTTTCTTAGTTACACTGCAATCCAGTTGTGCGTTCCTAAATTTATACCAATTGGATTTAGAATGATCATTACTAAAGAGGCTTGGCCTTATCTCTTGCAATTTGCTTCTTCCTTCTTAAATTCAATTCTTGTAATGTAACTATAATTTGGGGGTATCTTTTTGCCTCATATTCAAATTCTCTTTCAAACTGAGGTACATTTCTGTATTTCTGTATTTGTATATTGCATATAATAGTATAGAAAACAATAATGAGATTATAGTGTACATAAAAGTTTTGAAGTATAATTAAATATTTAATATATAAATATATTAAATATGGGCTGCTGACTCACCAAGCCTGGTTTGGCTTCCATCACTTGTGTAATCAATCACCTGTATTAAATCACCTCTGCTTGAAAGACGAAGAATAGTTTCTGATTTATAAGCAAACACTGAAAGCTCTTCTATTTCTTGTTTGCTAAACAAGATTTGTCAAAGTTAAATATTTTATTTTATTGAATTCACTTTTTGCCTCTCCTACAATGATGATTTGCTTTTCCTCCTTTAACTTGTTAATGTGATGAATTATACATAGTTTTTTTTTTCTATTGTTAGAAATCCTTGCATTCATGGAACAAACACAATTTTCATACTATATTTTTTATAGACTTCTAAACTTAATTTGCTAACTTTTAATTTAAAATGTTTGCCGTTAGGTTCATGAGGAAAGTTGGCATGTAATTTTCCTGTCTTACACATTTCTCATATAACATTGGTATCAAGGTTGTACTGGCCTCATAAAATGAACGAACAAATGGACCTTTTTTTATTCTGGAGTTGTTTTTATAAAATGGAAATAATCCATTTCTTGAAAACATTTGATAGAACTCACCAGTAAAAATGTCTGGGCCTGCTGGTTCTCTTCTTCTAAGAAGAATTTGGAACTTATAATTAAAGCTCCTTTAATGTGTTAGAAAACTTTCCAGGTTTCCTTGAACATTAATAAATTCCAATGACGAAAAGCCCTCAGATATTAAATATAACCTTAAATATAACCTTCCCCCAATTCAATTTTTCTTTTGCAGATATGATTAGATACTCTAATTTTTCAACCTCTATTTCACATATCCATTTTCCTTTCCTCCTCTGTACTGTCTTCAGCATAATTTGTTTAGTCTAACTTCCAACTCACTTATTTTCTTTTTGGTTCTATCCAATATTGTGTTTAACCTGTCCATTTAGTTTTTAATTTTCATTATATTTTTTATTTCTAAAAGATCTCTTAAATTCAGTTTCAATCTGCTTAATATAAGATACATACACTGTCTCAATTTATATTCCTGGCACACCTCATTGATTTTTTAAACATATTAAACACAGCTTTTATAGTTATATAATCGTCCTAATATCTGAAATCTTTATGGGCATAATTCTGTTTCTGCTCATGATGTTTATTTCCTCATGAGTTTTGTAAGAGTCTTACTTTTTTCTCATTTTGGATGAAATTTTACCTGTGGCCATTCTTTGAGACATGGGCTGAATGTGGGTTTCTCCAAAGACACTTTGCCTTCGTCTTGTGTTTGGTGGTAATACCAACATGGGATAACTATAAAATAAATTATCAGTTTCATGTGTGGGTTTTTTTTAACTTATACTTACAGTGAAAATTTAAACCACAAATTCATGTGAAGATGGCCTTCTCATTTTTCCTCTAAATAGCACCGAGTTTGAGGCAGGAAAATTTCCTGGTTGTCTCCCCCTGAGGAACAGGTTTTTATCTAGTTTATCCTTTCCCTGAAATTATAGTCCTTCGTATCTCTGGCTTTCAGCAGTTTTCTCCTGTAAGACTGCTATACTGGGCAGGCACTAGGTTTTGTCTCACACTCTCCCATATCCCAGGTGGTCATAAAAATTGAAGCTCAGGGTACTAGGGCCAGGACTGTCCTTATGGAAGCTTCTGGTTTGGGGGTCTGCATACCTCTCTGGATTTATGTATTCTCCTTATGCTTGGCCTATGTGGTTCACCTTAATTTCTATTCAAGTCAGTAATATACTTTTGAAAAATGACATGTACATTTTATCTGGTATTTGTAGATTTCATATAGCAGGATAGTGATTCAGCAAATTTAGTCTACCACAATGCTGGGAATAGAATTCCCCTAATTTTTGAAAACATTATATTAAATCATGTTTATTGCCATTAATAGTCTTATAAATGTGCTTTTAACTAACTGCATTTTGTCATAGCTCATTGTGATTGTATATTTAACTAGTTCACCCCTACCTCATGTTTTTTGGGAGTGAAGGTTGTACTCAACTCATTAAGTTAAGTAATACTACAGTAAACATCAATCTATACATGCATTAATAATGATTTCCAAGAAAGTAGTGACACATGGTCATAATCATCTTTGAGGCTGATGGTACATATTTTCAAATTGCATCTCAGAAATAATATACCAATCTGTGCTCTAATCAGCCGCATATGAAAGTGTCATCTTTCTGTTCTCCAACCAATACAACTACTACTGTTTTTATACCTGCAAATCTGACAAAGATGTGAGAAGGCATCTTATAGTTTCAATTTGTATTTCTTTGGTGACCAATGTACTAAATTACTCAATGTACTAAATTACTCTTTTCCTGTTTATGATCCATTTCAAACAAAATGTAAACCATTTTTTAAATTTTTTTATATTAATGCAAATCGTAAATCACTACTTTATTTATTCAACTTCCTAAGCAAAATTATATGTTGTCCCATTTATACATTTTATATTAGATCTTTCTGCCTTACATTTATAACCTAAAAAATGTCAGAATTATATAATAATGATGAACAGTTGATTATAAATAATGTCTTTATTAGGATATTTCTCCATAAATCTAAATTTCATCAATCTTTCTTTAAATATCTCTACACAATGTCCTCTTGTATTATATTAATAATTGCAGATACACTTCTTTTTGCTATTTCTATTCTTTCCTATTCCTATTGTCTGTTAGTCTCCCATTTTCTCCCATAAAATAAATAAAAATTTTTCTATCAGATTCTGTGATATATTACTTCTTAT
The DNA here is from genome assembly GCF_000001405.40 of Homo sapiens. NCBI lineage: Eukaryota > Metazoa > Chordata > Mammalia > Primates > Hominidae > Homo > Homo sapiens. Next base: position 97,587 of record NT_187520.1, read on the forward strand.
TCCCAGCCTTCAACATTTTAAGAATTCATATTGACCTTTTCTCCCATTCTTATTTCAAGTTATCAGCATGTTGATACTTGGGAAATCCCATCAAGTGTTTAACAGTGCATACCTTACTGATTCATTATTTATTTCAATTTAATCTTTCTTATTTTCATTCAACTTTTTTCTCAGTAATACAACTTTTTCAAGCTTTTTATTTTCTAATGCATTTCTCCAAATAGCAGCCATAACCCTTATATGCCCTCTTTCAATGACAACAACAAAAGTGTGCTAGGCTTCTTGGAAGAAAATAATGATACCAATTCAAGAAGGAGAAAATTGATGTACTGATAAACAAATGGGCATCTTAGGATCATGTTTCTCACAAGTAAGGCAGTTCCAGAAATTCCTAGGACCATAATGGGTTTTATTCTAAATAGGTTAAACATATCACTTAAAAAATTGTTTTCTACAGTTCTCTAATATTGCTTACAATTGTCCACGTTTCCATGTTTATAAACTTGCACTTTTTTTTTTTTATGGAGTTTTGCTGTTGTTGCCCAGGCTGGAGTGTAGTGGCGTGATCTTGGCTCACTGCAACCTCCACCTCCCAGGTTCAAGCAATTCTTCTGCCTCAGCCTTCTTAGTAGCTGGGATTACAGGTGCGTGCCACCACACCTGGCTAATTTTTTGTAGTTTTAGTAGAGACGGGGTTTCACCATGTTGGCCAGGCTGGTCTCGAACTCCTGACCTCAGGTGATCCACCCGCCTTGGCCTCCCAAAGTGCTGGGATTACAGGCATGAGCCACTGCTCCCGGCCTTATACTTGCACACTTTTTAATTCTAAGACCTTGCTACTCAGTGAGGGATCCTGGGACTAATACCATCAGCTTGACTTGAGGCCCTCTTTGAAAGCAGACTCAGAATCTGTAATTTATCAGGATCCCCAGGTAATTTGTATGTGCAGTCTAGTTTGGTAGATCTGCTCTGGCAGACTGGAAGACTCTTCTATCTGCCTCATGTAAGGTGCAGGTGACATAATTAGGTAATCAAGCAAAAGATCACATATTTTAATAAGAAAGAGACACTGGCTATTATTTTGAGTGGCAAAACAGGTTATTCAGTCCCAGTTTAAAATGGAAATGACAGAGACCAAGATGAAGATTTTTAATTTGAGATGTGCCTGCGATGCAATTACATTTGCTGAATGAAACTGCTTCAGTAATTAGATGCAGGTTTCTTCTCTCTTCTTTTTGAGATGTAAAGAAGACACAATAGACTCATGGAACTTAAAGAACTAGACGCCAGCTAACAAAACATGCTATCCAGGCTCTTTCGTTTCACCATATTGCTTTCTTGAAAACATAGGACAGTGCCAGTTTAGCACTGAAAAAAATCAGTTCTCCTAATTCTAAAAAGAGGAGACAGCCAGGCGTGGTGGGTCACTAAAAATACAAAAAATTAGCTGGGCATGGTGGTGCATGCCTGTAATCCCAGCTACTTGGGAGGCTGAGGCAAAAGAATCACTTAAACCCGGGAGGTGAAGGTTGCAGTGTGCTGAGATAGCGCCATTGCACTCTCGCCTGGGCAACAAGAGCGAAACTCCGTCTCAAGAAAAAAAAAAAAAAAGAGAGAGAGAGAGAGAAACTGTAATTTCATTTCAGAAGTTTTATAGGGTACTATTTCCAATTCTTTTTTTCTTACTCCATTAAAGTGTAATTAGCAGTATGTGAAAATTTCCACTTTATCCTCAATCAGAAGCCTCTCCTTCCAATTAGCATATATTTTTTCTATTAACTTTGTAAAGTGGGATTCTTGTTTTATACATACCCCTGGAAAGTATACTTAAACTGTGAGACCCTGGGATTTTATATTTCCAAATAGAAGATACCATCCTCTTGTATCACAAAATGTACCTAAGATGGTTTGGATTATATTTAAATATTCTTGAATGAAATAGACTTACTGACTGAAGCCAATTATTATATTTTTCCACACCAAAATAAATGCAATAGGAAAAGATGACAGTTCTATGTAGTATTCCTGCTTCCATATTGCACAAATTAGAAACATACATATTCCATTATGTTACAGGGTCTAGGGCTTTGGGAGGACAAGGCTGCAGGCAGCCGAGATTGTGCCGCTGCACTCCAGCCTGGGCGACAGAGTGAGATCTTTTCTCAATAATAATAATAAAAGTAAAAAGAAATATAATATTTAATCAATATATGCACACACATGGGTTTATCATGACACACACGACATGTGTGTACAGTGAAAAAAATGAGTAAATCTAGAAACCTGTATTGCCTCAATAGCTAGCTAAGTACTTCAATATGCATGTTTATTTCAACAATTTTGTGTTAAGCTTCAGTGGTAAATAAGCAGAGTACACTGACCATAATGAATACTTCTTTTGATGAGGGTTATCACTACACAATTAAAATATTACATAGTTGGCTGGGCACGTTGGCTCACACCTATAATCCCAGCACTTTGGGAGGCCGAGGCAGGCAGATCACCTGAGGATGGGAGTTCAATACCAGCCTGACTAACATGGAGAAACCCCTTCTCTATTAAAAATACAAAATTAACCAGGCGTGGTGGCACATGCCTGTAATCCCAGCTACTCAGGACGCTGAGGCAGGAGAATCACTTGAACCTGGGAGGCAGAGGTTGTGGTGAGCCGAGATAGCGCCATTGCACTCCAGCCTGGGCAACAAAAGCAAAACTCCGTCTCAAAAAAATATATAATAATAAATATATATATATTATATATAATCAATATAAATATAATATATAATAAATATATAATATGTATTATACAAATAATAAATATATATATTATATATAATAAATATATCATATAGATGATATAGTTTAGAGTTAAATACTGACTGCTCTTGGGAACTTTGAGGTATTCTGAGGGATATAAATAACACGAAGAGAATAGCACATTGGCTTGAAGCAGATTAGAGTCTGCTACCTGCGTGAATACTTGTTTTTCATGAACTATGAGGATGCCCTTAGCTTTTGAACCACTTCTACTTGTGTTGAAATTTACCCTTTAATTTTGGGGTTTGACAGGCTCTGCCCTTCTGTTATGCTTGAGTCTGGCTTTTCCTACTCTGACTCACTTTGATTCTTGACCTCTGAATCTTATTCCTATTTTACAATAAACACACATCGCACATACGCCAATTAGTAGAGTGGAAGAGGGAAAAATTGCCAAGGAACTATGTTTAATTTTGTTCCTTTCGCAAACCAGACACCATAACAGAAAAATTTTAGGAACATGTGCATGTTCAGTAGCCTTCAATGCAATTATACTGGTTATTAAAAAGTGTTGGATAATCAATATTTTTTAAAGATTCACTAGTCCCTTCTGATAATTTTAGAACTTTGGGAAGTAATAATACAAATGTATTTTTAGCTGTGTCCTTTAATCTTTTACTGTTTCCTCTATGTGTGGTGTTTGGTTTGTGTGTGTGTGATAATTATTATAAAGATCAGAGGCTAACAGAGGTGTTAATCACGAACTTTTAAATTTTTTTTATTTTTATTTTTTTAGTTTTTTTAAGAGACAGAGTCTCGCAGTGTTGCCAAGGCTGGATGCAGTCACGCCAACTCAGCTCACTGCAACCTTCGCCTTCAGGGTTCAAGCGATTCTGCTGCCTCAGCCTCCCAAGTAGCTGGGACTGCAGAAGGGCACCACGATGCCCCACTAATTTTTGTATTTTTAGTAGAGATGTGGTTTCACCATATTGGCCAGGCTGGTCTTGAACTCCTGATCTCATGATCCGCCCACCTCAGCTTCCCTAAGTGCTGGGATTACAGGCGTGAGCCACCGCGTCTGGCTGCATGACCTTTTAACTTGTCTCATACACTCAATATTCTCAAGATATACCTTCCAAAGTGCAAAATTATGGCACTTTGCAGCCCTGACCACTAACTGAGAACTTTGATGCTTTGGATTTTGGAGACCTCATTTTATCACCTGGTCCTTTTACTTCATGACTTGTCATGCTGCCACCTTTTGATGGGATTGAGATGAAGATAATAATTCCCAACTGGTCAGGAATATTGTGCCCCTTTGTTTTTATATCCAGATGCAATAGAGCCTCTGACACACCACTACTATTGTTCTTAGGATTTGGAACAAAATGCATCTTTCTTTGACAAAATAAATGTTTTCTTTAAAGAACTCTTGATTGATCCTGGACCATTGTAGAAACTGAAGTCCTATCAATGCAAAAAAATATGACAACATGAGCTGCTTATCATGAAATAAGTGTTTTCCAATTAACTATCCTGCTTCATCAGCAGGTAGGAATAATAGAATCTATACCTATGTCTTCATGGGAAGTTCTCTATGGCCAGTTGATTAGTGAGGGAAAAATTGAGCCTGATTTACAGAAGTCACTGTACAACATCACAGCAGCAGCCAAAAGTAGATTGCTTAGGCATTATAACCTACGTGAATGCAATTTTAAAAGAAATTCAGCCTATGTAATTGGTTGTCCACGATGTCTAGAAGGAGAGATATTATTGATGTATATGTGGCAGCTAATAATTTGTCTAGATAATTAGGGACTTGGGGCCAGGCCTGATGGCTCACACCTGTAATCCCAGAACTTTTGGAGGACAGGACAGGTGGATTGTCTGAGGTCAGGAGTTCGAAACCAGCCTGGCTGACATGGTGAAACTCCGTCTCTACTAAAAATACAAAAATTAGCCAGATGTGGTGGTGTGTGCCTGCAATCCTAGCTACTTGGGAGGCTGAGGCAGGAGAATCTCTTGAATCCAGGAGGAAGAAGTTGCAGTGAACCAAGATTGCACCACTGCACTCCAGCCTGGGCAACAAAGTGAAACTCTGTCTCAAAAAAAAAAAAAAAAAAAGAAAAGAAAAGATAATTAGGGACTCGGAAAGACAAAGACTGAAGGATTGGTGGCAATGAGTTTTGGGGAAAAAATATGTAGATGAACCACAGAAAATGAGCCAGAGTGTAAGAATATTTGTGCTTAATACGAATGCTCACGAAACTATCATCAGGAAGGTTATCAAATAGATATGAAGGTATGAAACAATCTCTTTCACCAGGCACTACATTGCTTGCTTAGAAGGCTAATAAACAGCAACATTGGTGGTAGCAGTAGAGAATACACATAGGTTTAGCAACATGTTGGACTTTACCACTCTCGCTTACAAAAGCCTATTTAGCTGTCAAGACTATTAGGTGTCCAACACACAAGCAACAAAGTCCAAGGCTAAGCACACAATAACATATCCTGGGTGAATAAACCAGTCACCTTTTGTCAGACTTGTTGATTTTATTGGAGCTCCTCTATGATAAAGGCAACAAGGAATTTTGTAAATGGAATCTACCTTTAACCTTGAATTACATTTGCTTTACCTGACATCATTTTTCTCTGATCGCCACTCTCCACGGGTACATTGAATGCCTTATATATACTGCCATAATATCCTGTTCTACATCCTTCTCTTAAAAGAACTTGTTGTATAACAAATGAGTAGATATTCATTGGACTCACCTGGTCCACCATTTATCCTATCACTAACCAAAATTATTATTATTACAGAATGGTGAATATTTTATTAAAGACTCAATCACAGTGTCAGCTGGAGACAATGGCTTATAAGGTTGTACTCATGCTAGAGGATGTGGTGGTGTATCCTCTGAACTAGTAACTAAGTATAAGCTTGTCTGGTGTCTCCTATATAAAAAATACAACAATCTTTGATATTTGTTATGAATGTTGAAGTGACTCCTTTTGTCATTACATCTAATGATCCACTCCAAATACTTGTCTCTTGTCTCTGAGATTCTAGGTTTTTGCAGAATTAGTACCCAAAGGGAGAGTCTTAGCAGTATTCCATTTTACAATCCATCCTTCGTTAGAGGATGAGAGACTTCTATCTAGCCTTTTAGGTTGCCTGAGACCTTTAAACAAACAGTCAAAAATTTAAAATTTAAAATGCGGCTACACTGTGGCATGGGGTAGTAAATCTTGACCTTAAAACTGGTATTTGTAAGAAAAACAGAAAGAATTCAGGGATCCCCTTTGATGGCTCCTAATTCTATACAGTCCTGTAAATATTCCTGAAGACTAACCAGGCATGGTGGTGCACACCTGTAATCCCAGCTACTCCAGAGGCTGAGGAAGAGAATCACTTGAACCTGGGAGGCGGAGGTTGCAATGAGCTGAGATTGTGCCACTTCACTCCAGCCTGGGTGACAGAGCAAGACTCTGTCTCAAAAAAAACAAAAAAAAGAAGAAGAAAGAAAGAAAGAAAGAAAGAAAGAAAGAAAGAAAGAAAGAAAGAAAGAAAGAAAGAAAGAAATGAAGACTGCCACAACTTGGAAGCAACCAAGATGTCCTTCAATAGGTGACTGCATAAGCAAACTGTGGTATATTCCTACAGTGGAATATTATTCAGTGCTAAAAGGAAAAAACTATCAAGCCACAAAAAGATACAGAAAAACAAAGACATTTTGCTAAGTGAAAGAAGCCAGTCTGAAAAGGGTACATACTGTGATTTCAACTATACAACACTCTGGAAAAGGCCAAACTATAAAGACAGTGAAAAGATCAGTGGTTATCTTTGCAGACGCCACCATCGCTGTGAGCCCTGTACTATCAGCCATGGTCAACTCCGTCGTCTTTTTTGAAATCACCAGGGATGGCAAGCCCTTGGGCCGCATCTCCATCAAACTGTTTGCAGACAAGATTCCAAAGACAGCAGAAAACTTTCGTGCTCTGAGCACTGGAGAGAAAGGATTTCGTTATAAGGGTTCCTGCTTTCACAGAATTATTCCAGGGTTTATGTGTCAGGGTGGTGACTTCACACGCCCTAATGGCACCGGTGACAAGTCCATCTATGGGGAGAAATTTGATGATGAGAACCTCATCCGAAAGCATACAGGTTCTGGCATCTTGTCCATGGCAAATGCTGGACCCAACACAAGTGGTTCCCAGTTTTTCATCTGTGCTGCCAAGACTGAGTGGTTGGATGGCAAGCATGTGGCGTTTGGCAAGGTGAAAGAACGTGTGAATATTGTGGAAGCCACGGAGCACTTTGGGTACAGGAATAGCAAGACCAGCAAGAAGATCACCATTGCTGACTGTGGACAATTCTAATGAGTTTGACTTGTGTTTTATTTTCACCACCAGACCCATTCCTTCTGTAGCTCAGGAGAGCACCCCTCCACCACATTTGCTTGCAATATCCTAGAATCTTTGTGCTCTTGCTGCAGTTCCCTTTGGGTTCCATGTTTTCCTTGTTCCCTTCCATGCCTAGCTGGATGGCAGAGTTGAGTTAAGTTTATGATTATGAAATAAAAACTAAGTAACAACAACAACAACAAAAAAGCTCAGTGGTTGCCAGGAGTTTGGGGATGGGTAGGGAGATAAACAGTTCTGAAACAGGCGATTTTTAGGGGATTGAAAATACGTTGGTAATAATGTAATGATGGGTACATGACATTATGCGTTTTGCAAAACTCCTAGACCTGTACCACACAAAGAGTGAACTCTAATGTAAACTGGGGGTGGGATAAAGGTGACAGTATGTGAGAACTCTGTACTTTCTGCTCGATCTTTCCATAAAGCTAAAACTGCTCAAAAAATAAAGTCTATTATTTTGTTAAATGAAAGAAATTAACAATGACCATGGCACGCTCACACAAAAAGATTATCAAGGACATTTCTCTGTCAGGAATGAATATTTGGTCATCTCACAAGGCAAAACCCTGACTAGCAGAGGTGTTAGCTGAGGGCACATGGCCATAGATGCCAATAGTGACCTGCTGGCCACTTGCAGAAAGGAGAGCCTTTACATCCAAACACATTGTTTCTCTTGTATTGTCCTGTGCATACTTATGTATCTTAACAACTTTCCTTCTTTCCTCTCCATTTATCCCTCTTTTTAAAACAGGGCTTATTGAGGGTGATTAACTTAATTTTTAAATGATATATGGCAGAATGTCAAGAGAGTATAGTGAAGAACTTCGTAGAGGAATGGACATAACCCAGAATTCTTAGACTTAGAGTACATGCTGTGATTGAGAATTTTTTATTGTTTCATTGTTCAAGAGATTGTAGGTACATGTTCAATTATTAGAGAAATAGTTGCACTCTGTTAGAAGGAAGCTTGGGTCTTTCGTGTTTACTTTCAAAAGGGAAAGTTTATATTGATATTGAGCAAGTTAAAGCATGAATATTTACTATTTGATGTTTGTTCCTGTGTTTGAGGAATTCCTCAGCCTCTCAGTTTTGACGAAAACAAGAAACCACCTCCTGCTTTAGAAGCTAAAATGTCAAATGCTTGCTTTCTCAGCCTCCTTTGCAGCTATCTGTTGCAAAGCGAACAAGTGGGAGTGGTGCTGGTGGCTTTGCAGTTAGCCTAGGATTGAGCAATTGCTGCAATTGTTGCTCTCTGCATCTTCGGTGTTACTTCTTACTGGTGGTGACAGTGGTTTCCTCCCTGGATGAGTTCTACAGCATGGTTTGGGGTACATTTCCTGGCTGCCTAGCTTTGATCTGGCTCTCTAGCCTTCTCAACAGTTCTACAAGTTCCCCACTATTTCTGTGATAAACCTATTTATTGTTAATGTCAGCCATAATTGGCTTCTGTGGTTTATATTTTTTAAAATTCCAAGATATACCAATGTAACAGATAGCTCAACAAACATATGTCTTTTTAAATTAAGATATATTCTGTGTCACATGAAGTACAATGGACAAAATGCAACAAATTGAATTGAGCTAAAGACCAAATATATATTAAGCCTGGCTGGTCTTAAAAATGTAACTGGATACAGCCAGGCATGGTGGCTCACGCCTATAATCCCAGCACTTTGGGATCCTGAGGTGGGCAGATCACCTGAAGTCAGGAGTTTGAGACCAGCCTGGCCAGCATGGTGAAACCCCATCTCTACTAAAAATGCAAAAATTAGCTGGGTGTGGTGGTATGCCCCTGTAATCCCAGCTACTCGGGAGGTTGAGGCAGGAGAATCACTTGAACCTGGGAGGCAGAGGTTGCAGTGAGCCCAGATCATGCCAATGCACTCCAGCTTTGGCAACAGAGTGAGACTTTGTTTCAAAATAAAAAAATAAAAATAAAAAAATAAAAACGTAACTGGATAGACCTAAGGATCTTGAATAAGCAGAAAATAATTTAGGTAAAAGCCAAATAATAAACTAACATTCTGAAAGGTTTAGGATTTGGAGGCCCAAATGTCTTAGCTAAAAGTGTTCATTCTAACCTCACAGGAAAATTGAAATATGAAAATATACAGAAAAATCTTAGGCAGTATTTATCAATTTTAAGAAACAACTATTTACAGGTTTTTCAATAGGCATTACATTAAAAACAAAATATATAGTTAATAAATATGAAAACTGTGGATATAATCAACACATTTATTTTACTTCTTGAAGTGTTAACATGTGCTGTCTCAAATATCAACAGTGTACACGTGAGAAAAAACATTTTACATAGATTTTCTGCGACAGAAAACAGCATCTCATTAGACATCCCAAGTTTTTTTCATTTGGAACACACACTCATTCCCCAGTATACTAGGGGTAATAATAATTTAGAGTTTAATTACTTTTTACTACTAGAAAACTAATTTTATGTTTGGCACAAATTTCTGAAATGATATTCCACTGCAAAGAATAATACCTATATATGGCCAGAATTACTTTTTTTCTATAACATTAAGATAATACTTGTCAGCCTGAGCAACAAAGTGAGACCTCATCTTTACAAAAAATAAATAAATTAGACGGGTGTTGTGGTGATGAGGGTCTGTAGTCCCAGATACTCAAGAGGCTGAGGTGGGAGGATCCCTTGAGCCTAGGAGGTCGCGGTTGCAGTGAACTATGATTGCACCACTGCACTCCAGCCTGGGTAACAGAGCAAGATCCTCTCTCAAAAAAAAAAAAAAAAAAAAAAAAAAGATAATATTGGTATAATTCAGGGTTTTTGCCTCAATCCCCATGCTTCTTCATTTGACCTTCCCTGACTCCCTGATGAATTTTAGTTTGAATTTTTGCTATAGTCCAGAAGTTAATTTAAAAGATCTTAAAATTTCCACCTGCCTAGATATTACTTATTTGTTACACTTTAGTCCATGATTTCTATTGTCATTTACATTACCCCAAAAATATGACCTGCTGAATTTCTGCTGTCATGAATTGACTAACATATTTTGGGCCTAAAACCTTTACATTTAGAATCTTTTTGTTTCGTATTGGAAAATATTGTAAGTCCTCCATTTATTGGTCAAAAGCACTGCCTATTTATTTCCATGCTTAATCAGAGAGACTTTCTAATAGTTATTTAATATTATTTACGTTCATTCACTTGTTGACTATAATGACGTTAGTTGCTATGATATTTTTAGGTCATTAATATAATAAAAATATGTCAACTTTTCTCTTCTGATGTGTCTTTGGGTTATTAATTTTTAACTCAGGTATCAAGCTTGTAAAATGTTTAATGGCTTATAATAATGTCTAACACATAGTATCCACTGAGTTCTGATAACTCTGGTTTATCAAATTCTCTTTTTTTGTACCATTCTCCAAATGCAATGCTATTTGGTTTTATTTTTATTTTTTAAAAATGTGCTGCCTGTTTTGAGTCTCTAAAAGTGTGAAATGCTCAGCATTTCCCAAATGTATTTGAACATGGAGTGTTATATTTACTAAAAAGTTAACAAGCAAGTATTCCCCTAAACACTCTAGCAAATACTACTAGTACAGACAAATTATGATGTAACATTATAGTACATTTTAACTTATTAGGTTAATTTTGGTTGCAAACAATCAAAATTCAAAATGGCTTGTATAATAAAGAGATTTTGAACAATAGTATAGGCTCAAGATAGCTTAATGCAGAAGTTTAATAATGACACAAAATAAATGCTTCTTGTCCTCCCTGTTTCTTCACTCTACCTTAAGTGATATAGATTGAATGTTTGTAGTCCCCCAAAATTTGTATGTTTAAATCTAATCCCTAGTGTGATGATATTTGGCAGTGGGTCTTCGGGGGGTGATTAGGTCATGAGGACAGAGCCCTCATGAATGGGATTAGTGCCCTTATAAAAGAGACCTTAGAGAACTTCCTTGCCCCTTCCTCCATGTGAGGACACAGCAAAAAGACAGCTGTCTGTGAACCAGGAAACAAATCCTCATTAGACCCTGAATCTGTTGACACCATGATCTTGGACTTCCTGGCCTCTAGAACTGTAAGAAATAAATTTATGTTGTTCATAAACCATCCAGGCTGTGATATTCTGGTATAGCGACCTGAAAGGACTAAGACATTAGGTCTCAGTTTTATTCTATGGCTTAAAATATCATGTCATGAGTAGACAACTTCCAATCCTAGTACCTCGTGCTTCCTCTGCTGCATTTGGAAAGAAGGCATTTCCCTCTTCAATCATGGAATGAAAAAGTTGTACTTCATTCTGATTTGATTAGCAGAAGGCACACGTTCCTTCCATGCACCAATTAAAATGACCAAGAATTGGGCATGGGACTCATGTCACTTAAACATTGTGAAGCTGAGAAATTCATTATTTGGTTAGGAGTGTGTGAGAGCAGGGAACACTGAATGCTTGAGACACCACCACGATGTCCACTACATGTATTTCCATTTCAGTAAACATTTCCATTAAGATAATGCTAGAACAAAATCAGAGGAGTAGATCTTGGTGTCCCCAACTTTTGTTGACCTAACAAAGTGAAGTTGCTTCAACTGGACACTTCTGAACCACATTTATGCCTATATGTTCAGTTCAAATTTATTATAAGCAATTTTCAGGTCCATATGTTTAGGATATTTCATTTGTTTGGTTATGCATTATATGTATACATGTTTTTAACATACATACGCCTCTACATATATTTTGGAGGCCTTTACACAAAAGTGTTTTCCCTGAAGGGAGAAGAGAAAAGTTGAATGCAGAAGTAGAAAAAAAAAATTCATTTGCACTTGTAGTAGTTATATCTAAATATTTTATATTACAGATGTATTAAAATTTTTATAATTTTAAACACTACTTTAAAACAGGGAGATGGTTTACCTTCAAAAAATTTGGCTCTCAACTCAAAGTTATCAAAGTATATCCTAGATGTAGTTTGCTTGTCAGGCTTCTACATGAAAATCTAAAATGCTCCTGCATTTCAGAATGAGCCTAACATATGTAATTGCACTCATCCACTATGTCTACATTGCCAACCAAATACTGACAGAGAGAGCTAGAGTGCCACAGAGAGCTGGCAGTTCCTCTGTTTGCATTAGCTTCTACTTGCTTCTTCATCTTTCCTCTATGTCTGACACATTTCATGTTACTGTTTTTAAATGTTCCCTTAGCTACAGAGCTAATGTGCTTATATCTGTAAGGGGTCTCATGTGAACCTCTAAATAATTAAAGATTCATTAGCTCCCTGGAGGGCCACCATGATTTCCAAAACAAGTCACAATACCTAAAGATCTAATTGTACAATTTCCCTCAGAAATAGCCTTGAGAAAGAAGTCACATCACTCAGCAATGAGTATTATAATTACTCACAGCAGTTTTCATGGTACTATATAACATCCAATTTACAGAATTAAAGGTAATGTAATTCAAAAGAAAAATAGCTGGTTTTAAGGAATGAAGGGCCATGTCAACTATTGGAAGCATCTTTGAACTGGAGCCTCTATGTTCGGGTTTCACCAGGTTTATGTTTTTAATTAATATCCGATTCAGCTTCCTGTAATTTCCATTGAGGTTTTCTAGAACAAGACAAGTCAGAAATTGATCTTTAATTATAAGCTAAGAGCAAACTGCCAAAGAACTGAGAGAAATTTTGAAGAAACAGGTCTATCAGGACTAACCATTTTAAGATAATAAAGACTAATCAGACACACACACATATGCACAAAAAGAGGGAGAGAGAGAACAAAAATCCTATGAAATACATTTTAAAAACTTAATTTTTTTAAGAAGAAGCATTTGATCTGCCAAAGAGAAGAGTTAGCAGTTTGGAGATCTGACATTGCTAATCTCAGGGCAAGAAAATAACAAAATAAGACACCAAAGAATTACCTAAACTGTGGAAGATGAAGCTTTCAGAGTTCTCACAGAGAAATGGGATACTAAAGTACCAAGTTTAAGAGGTGTAATCTATTAATGTTTAATTTATGTCCCAAATACTTAAAAACTATGTTTCATTGTTATACATATTTATTTTATTATAAAGATAATGAATGCAGTAGGGTTAGATTTAAATAATTCATTGGGTTTAAAATGAGAAATGAAAGTCTGGCTTTTTACAACCTACAGTCTTATCACCAAAGTTAGCTATTGTTAATAACTTCTTGTCCATTCTTGTATGTGTTATGGTTTCTTTCTTAGAAAGAAGTATGCTATACTAGTATACATGCTATTTATTCATGAACCTTGCACTTATCATGTAATCATATGTCTTAGTGGTCTTTTCATAATAGATGTCTCTCTTTCCCACGCTGTCAGTGGTGATTGCATGAGGCATTGTACAGACGTACCAATAATTACTTACTCTGTGTCATATTGTTGGTTATTCAGATTGTTTTCACTTTGCCCTTGCAGACAACACTGCAACGAACATCCTTATGCATATCTTATTCCAAATACATCATCGTGATGGCTGTGTGAGAGAAATATACATTGTTGATTTTATTTTTTTATTTTTTATAATTTCAACTTTTGATTTTAGATACAGTGGGTACATGTGCAGGTTTGTTACATGGGTATGTTGTGTAATGCTGAGGTTTGCAGCATGATTGATCCGATCACTCAGGTACTAGGCATAGTAGTTGTTTTTCAACCTTTACCCCCTCCCTCCTTCTACCCTCGAGTAGTCCCCAGTTTCTATTGTTCCCATCTTTGTGTCCACGTGTACTCAATGTTTAGCTCCTGCTTATAAGTGAGAATATGTGGTATTTGGTTTTCTATTCCTGTGTTAATTCGCTTAGCATAATGGCATCGAGTTGCATCCACGTTGCTGTAAAGGACATGATTTTATTCTTTTTTATGGCTGCAAAGTATTCCATGACATATATGTACCATATTTTCTTTATCCAATCCACAGTTGATGGGCACCTAGGTTGATTCCATGTCTTAGCGATTGTGAATTACACTGCTGATTTTAATAGAAACCACTAATTTTTATGCCAAAAAAATCATCAATGTGCACATGCTCCAAGGCTGTGTGAGCATAGCCCTTTTCCTTGGGATGTCAACAACACTGGGTTTTATCAAAATATAATTTTTGCCAATTTATTAGTTAACAAATGCTAACTCAGTGCTATTTGGATTTGAACTACCACTGGTGCTGAGCAACTTTTTACATAGTCACTGGCAATTTATTTATCTTTCTCTGTTGTTTATCTTTTTCTGTGTAATAATTTTCCCTATCTTCTACTCTTTTAAACATTAAGTTTTCACTGTTTTCTTAATAATTTTTAAGTTTAAAAAGTGACCTTTTGGCTGGGCGCAGTGGCTCACGCCTGTAATCCCAACACTTTGGGAGGCCAAGGCGGGTGGATCACAAGGTCAGGAGATCAAGACCATCCTGCCCAACATGGTGAAACCCCGTCTCTGCTAAAAATACAAAAATTGGCTGGGGTGGTGGCACGTGCCTGTAATCCCAGCTACTCGGGAGGCTGAGGCAGAAGAATCACTTGAACCAGGGAGTTGGAGGTTGTAATGAGCCAAGATCACGCCACTGTGCTCCAGCCTGGCGACAGAGCGAGACTCCGTCTCAAAAGAAAAAGTGACCATTTTATCTGCTGCATATAATTCTAATGATATTTCTCAATTCGTTTATCTTTTAACAATGGTAATATATAATGTCTTGCTATTTAGAAAGATTTTTAAAAGTATTTTACATAAAGAAATTTTTATTCTTTGCCATTAATACTTGCAGGTTTGGAATTTTCAGGACCTCCTCAAAGGCCACCTACAGGAAATGCTCTTCAAAGACATTTCACTTTTTCCCCACTTGATTGTGGAGCAAAGACTAACACTGGCAATGCTTTGAAGTACTTGAGTCAAATGGGTCTCTCATGTGGTCATTACTATACTCACTCTCAGGCTCCAATGCAAATTGTTTCCTTACGCCAACTACTCTTGCTTTCCTTTAATAGACCTATTCCTCCTGGGCTGTCTGAAACTAACATTTCATTGTAAATAAAGTCCTGCAAATCCTTGGTATCTCAAAGAACCCTCCTTCCATTTAGTTTTAGGAGAACTCTCCTTCTAAAACTCTATTCTTCTCCCTGGAGTCCAGATCCCCATTCCTTGCAACAAATGAACGCTTGATTTGAGCACTGAAGGGAGATAATTGGAAGTTTGACTTTGTGTTCTAGGTTTTCCCTGCCAATATATGCAGCGTCTTTAAAACTAATTGGGCTGAGGCAGGAGAACTGCTTGAACCCAGGAGGAGGAGGTTGCAGTGAGCCGAAATTGCACCATTGAACTCCAGCCTGGGTGATAGAGCAAGGCTCCATCTCAAAAAAAAAAAAAAAAAAACAGCAAAAAGAAACTAATTAGGTTCAAGAAGTTCGAATGAATTCAACTTAGACAAGCTCTTAAGCAGACATGTTGGAAGTTCCAGAAAAGACAGTTTGGGAAAATATTTTATTAAAAAAAAAAAAAAGACTGCCCTCCACTTCCTCACTCTTTCTTCCCACTTATTTTCACTCCACTGGTGCAGTTTGGTGTCAACTCTCCTCACTCTACTGAAACTGCTGCAGCCGAGGTTACTAGTTATTTAATTAACAAAAGCAATAGATTTTGTTTTTTTTAATTGCATTATACTCTACTATTTTGTGACATTTAAACTATTGACAATGTCTTTCTTGAAAATGTGTCCTTTTTGTTTTTTTCAAAACACGACTTTCTCCTTGATGTCCTCCTTTTTCTCTCATTATTTCACCTTTACATTCTCTGCTGACACCTTTCACCTTACCAAACCTTAATTAAATGTGTATGCTTCCCAGTCTCCCATTCTTGGCTCTCTTCCCTTCCCTCTTATTGATCATTATTGTATTCTGTGATCTCACCAGTTCTCTTGGCTTTAACAATAACCAGATGACTCCAGAAAACTATTCAAAATTCCGGACCTATGGAGACTTTGCACCCAGATATGTACCAACAACTCAACCTCAGTTATCTCTAATATTATCTCATTAAGTGCCCTCTAACTACAGAATGACTCCTCCTTCTGGGTTTCCTCTGCCTGAATGGCACCACCATTCAGTGGCCCATGACAAATTTGGACCTCATTTGGAACTTCTCCCTTTCCCTCATGTTTCATTTTCTCTTGGCTAAAGAGTTATTAGATTCTTCATTTTTAGCTTTTCTCTAGCCTATCTTCAATTTTATAGTGGACAGTTATGTATATCCTATATCCCAGGAGAGAAGGGATATCTTCTTCTATGCCCATACTATGAACTAGCATATCCTTTGAGTCCTTTCTTTGTATGAAGCACTGGGGAAATTTAATCAACTTCATAATCACTTATAATCCTCACAGTAATTTTATGAGATAAGTTCTATTTATTATCCCTATCTTAAGGATGAGGAAACTGTGGTTTAAAGAGCTTAAGTAATTTGGGCAAATCATGAAAGAAGCAGTGAAGACAGAATTCAAATCTAGGCAACCTGAAATCTGAGCCTGAGCACTTTGCCTCCCTAATAACTATCTCCCTTTGAGAGTTGTATTACAAAGTTGACAACATTTAGCAACCCTTATTCCCCTCCCCACCCCTATCTCTCTCCAAGAAATCTGCTGTGAGGTAGAGAATGTGTTGATTTTCTCTGCAGTTTTTAGTGCATAGCATAGGGCTTAGAAAGGAGAAAATGATGAAAAATATTTATTAAAATAATTGTTTTTCTTTGATAGTTGTTATAACCATCGAATTGTGAGTGCTTAACAATTACTATAAAGGAGAATGGAAATCACAGATCTTTTCACAGAATTTTTTTTTTTTTTTTTTTTTGAGACAGAGTCCAGCTTGTCACCCAGGCTGGAGTGCAGTGGTGCGATCTCAGCTCACTGCAACCTCCACCTCCTGGGTTTAATCACTTGCCTTGGCCTCCTGAGTAGCTGAGATTACAGGTGTGCACCACCATGCCTGGCTAATTTTTGTATTTTTGGTAGAGATGGGGTTTCACCACATTGGCCAGGCTGGTCTCAAACTCCTGACCTCCAGTGATCCACCCATCTCAGACTCCCAAAGAGCTGGGATTATAGGCTTGAACCACCGTGCTGGGCCTTTCTTAGAGAATTTATAGTTTACCTGGAAATGTAAACTATATATATACTTAAACTGAGGGATATTTACAAAAGAGCTTTCTACTTAACCCACAAGAAGCTGTATTAATAACAAAGCAAATCAAGCTTGTTCACAGGCAACTGAATAGAATGAATGGTTTTGATTGGTGTTGCCAGTTATATTTCTAACAAGAGAAAATTCAATGTGAGCCTCATTTGGAAACAAGATATTACAGAGAGGAAAATTTGGGATTAAGGTCAGATTTGGTGCAACTATGCTAGATACAGAAAAGGCAAACTTTCAGCTCAATCCCCAGCTAAGTACAAGTTCAATGGTGAAGGCATAAGAAAATGAGCCATTATAATAAGTCTGAAATAAGTTTATGATTCCACCTCAATATGGGCATGCAATATATTCTAACATTTAATCCCTGGAAAAAATGATGACATCACACTGAAATCTTGACTCATAAGAGAACTTTTTTATGCTGTTCCCTAAGTCAGTTTATTTCTACTTCATTCTTGCGTTAAGGGTAGGCTCAATTCTTACTCATTCAAAAACGGTATCACCTGAAGCTTTTCTTTAATTCTTGTTTTCTCTGCAGTGAGAAAATTAATCAAGGGGTTAAAATGTATATTAAATTATATATGTATTATATGTAAAAGTTATATAATATAGATCAGAGAAGAATATATTGCATATGTTATAGGCTGAATTGTGTCCTTTCCCCAAATTAATATGCTGTACCCTGCCCCCTGCCATCCCGGTATATCAGAAGGTGGCTATATTTGGAGATAGAGACTTTTAAGAGGTAACTAATGTAAAATGAGGTCACATGTCTGGGTCCTAATCCAATATCACTGGTGTCCTTATTTGAAGAGGAAATTTAGGTACAGACATACATGTGCACAGAAAAAAGTCCATGAGAAGACAAGATGAGAAAATGACTATCTAAAAGCCAAGGAGAGAAATTTCAGAATAAAATTAACACATCTGATGCCTTGAGCTCACACTTCTAGCCTCCAGAACCGTGAGAAAATAAATTTCTGTTGTTTAACTCACCCAGTCTGCAGTAATTGTTATAACAACCCTAGCAAAGTAATATAGGAAGTATATATATATATATATATATATATATATATATATATATATATACACACACACACACACACATACATATATATATACACATATTTGTGTGTGTGTGTGTGTGTGTATATATATATATATATATGTGATAGAGTAGATAGATAGAGACATATACAGTCATCCCTCAGTATTAGTGGGGTATTGCATTCAGGAGCCCTGCATATACCGAAGTCTGCACATACTCAGGTCCCACAGTCAACCTTGCAGAGCTCGCATATGAAAAGTTGGCCCTCCACATATGTGGGTTACACGTCCCACAAATACTATATTTTCAATCTGTATTTGGCTGAAAAAATCCACCTATAAGTGGACTCACACAGTTTAAACCAGTGTTATTCAAAGGTCAACTGTTGATATATAGATATATAAATATCTCATATGTATAGAGCAAGCGGGAGAAAAAATCTCTAATCTCTCTTCCTTCCTGCTCTTTTTGGATTGCAAACTCTTCTCTCATAAGTACAAAAAGTAATGTTAACAAAGTAAAGAGAATTGGAAATAGTAGTGTTTTTGACCACTAGTGTTTTGTAATTTTGGAAAAAAAAATTACTGAAATGTAACTTTTTATTTATATTGAGATGTTTTGACTCATACTCCAATCATACAGAAATAATAGATAAAATATGAAAAAGACTTCTTTTTACATACATAGCTGGATTAAAATATTAGAAATAATTTTCTTCCCTCAAAGGATCCCCTATTTAATAAACGGTGCTGGGAAAACTGGCTAGCCATATGTAGAAAGCTGAAACTGGATCCCTTTCTTACACCATACACAAAAATTAACTCAAGATGGATTAAAGACTTAAATGAAAGACCTAACGCCATAAAAAACCCTAGAAGAAAACCTAGGCAATACCATTCAAGACATAGGCACGGGCAAAGACTTCACGACCAGAACACCAAAAGCAATGGCAACAAAAGCTAAAATAGACAAATGCGATCTAATTAAACTAAAGAGCTTCTGCATAGCAAAAGAAACTCTCATCAGAGTGAACAGGCAATCTAAAAAA
Organism: Homo sapiens; assembly: GCF_000001405.40. Lineage (NCBI taxonomy): Eukaryota > Metazoa > Chordata > Mammalia > Primates > Hominidae > Homo > Homo sapiens. Next base: position 117,072 of record NT_187520.1, read on the forward strand.
TAGGAGAAAAGTTTTGCAATATACCCATCTAACAAAGGGCTAATATCCAGAATCTACAAAGAACTTCAACAAATTTACAAGAAAAAAACAACCCCATCAAAAAGTGGGCAAAGAATATGAACAGACACTTCTCAAAAGAAGACATTTATGCAGCCAACAAACACATAAAAAATGCTCATCATCTCTGGTCATCAGAGAAATGCATATCAAAACCACAATGAGATACCATCACATGCCAGTTAGAATGATGATCATTAAAAAGTCAGGAAACAACAGATACTGGAGAGGATGTGGAGAAATAGGAATGCTTTTACACTGCTGGTTGGAGCGTAAATTAGTTCAACCATTGTGGAAAGCAGTGTGGCGATTCCTCAAGGATCTAGAACTAGAAATACCATTTGACCCAGCGATCCCATTACTGGGTGTATACCCGAAGGATTATACATCATGCTACTATAAAGATGTATACATGCACACGTATGTTAATTGTGGTGCTATTCACAATAGCAAAGACTTGGAACCAACCCAAATGTCCATCAATGATAGACTGGATTAAAAAATGTGGCACATATGTGCCATGGAATACTATGAAGCCATAAAAAAGGATAAGTTCATGTCCTTTGCAAGGACATGGATGAAGCTGGAAACCATCATTCTCAGCAAACTATCACAAGGACAGAAAACCAAACACCGCATGTTCTCACTCGCAGATGGGAGTTGAACAATGAGAATGCATGGACACAGGGTGGGGAACATCACACACTGGGGCCTGTCAGGGGTTGGGGGGCTGGGGGACAGATAGCATCAGGAGAAATACCTAATGTAAATGACAAGTTGATGGGTACAGCAAACCAACATGGCACATGTATACCTATGTAACAAACCTGCATATGATGCACACGTACCCTAAAACTTAAGATTAAAAAAAAACATTTCTTCCCTCATGAGGTACAAAGCCAAGCATTACACTGGGGCCATGATAGTCCAGGTTGCTGAAAGATTTAGATCTAAAGACTGAAAATTGGGATATATATTGAGAGAGAGAGAGAGAGAGAACAAATGGTAACCTAAATTTAATAAAATAATAATAGACAAATTAGGGTAACAGGCATATGAGTATTTTTTGTTCTAACAATTCTTTTATTTTCAAACTTATCTATAATCTTACATTTATTTCCCAATAAAAAGGATTTTAAGTTAAAAAAAGAAAGTTTTTCTGTAGTAACATTTTCACAACTAGGGCCTTTAAGACTGAGGAAATACTCCAAGCTCTGAGCAAACTCAGTAAGTATAAATCCATATGTAGACATACCACAGTAAAATGCAAGATACTAAAGACTAATACAATATTTTCAAATCAACCAGAGATGGAAGGCAGATTACCTGCAAAGGAAGGACAATTACTTTATCACAGACTTCTCTTCATCAACGAGAACAGACAATACAGGAATAACATCTCCCAAGTTGTGAGGGAGACTAACAGATGACATGAAATTCTACGACCAAATAAAGCATAATTCAATGGGCAGCAGTTAACAGAATTAAGCTGTTTCCAGACATCTATGGAGAGATTTAACTCAAAGATGTCACTGTAAATTTGATTGTTGAGATGTAGTAATGGATACTTGGCAAGGTTATTGAATTAGTTAAACGATCTTCAAAGCTTAGGTCATGTATCTTCATTAAACACATGGTGCTTTGCATTTACTAAAGAAGGGCCTCCGTTTTCTCTCCAAATAAATCATTGCGACCTTAGCACCCCAAGTGTAAAAACCTCTTTTATTTCTATTCTTGATCTCTAGTCCCTGCTTATGTGTATGCATAAATGCATGACACCGTGCTTCTCTTTTAGTTATTTATTTCTAGAGATCATGTCTTTGAAAATCATTATATTCCCAGCAACTATTTAGAGTGGTACTAAGCTAACTTGGTTTATGCTGTCAACCGCATAGCAGTTATTTGATTGGCCCATTCCTTTATAAAATATTTTATGCTTAGATGATGAACTCTACATAAATTCAGCCAGGAGAATGTTTTCCTTGGCAATCTCTGGGAGATTACAAATGTTCCTTTGTTTTTTTTTTTTTTTTTTGAGATGGAGTCTCGCTCTGTCTCCCAGGCTGGAGCCCAGTGGCGCGATCTCGGCTCACTGCAAGCTCCACCTCCTGGGTTCACGCCATTCTGTTGCCTCAGCCTCCCGAGTAGCTGGGACTACAAGTGCCCGCCACCACGCCCGGCTAATTTTTTTGTATTTTAGTAGAGACAGAGTTTCACCGTGTTAGCCAGGATGGTCTCGATCTCCTGACCTCATGATCCACAAGCCTCGGCCTCCCAAAGTGTTGGGATTACAGGCGTGAGCCACCGTGCCCGGCCTACAAATGTTACTATTAACTCCTCCTTCTGCTAAGAAATAAACCAAAATAAAATTATTCACAAATATAACTGTTTTGATCATGCTTTCAGATGATATGTAAAGTAGCCCACAGAAGGTAAATAATATTCAGGGGAAATAAATTATTACTTAAGAGTGGGTGCTGAGAAAAAGAAATGTGTGAAGTGTGAGGTAGGAAGTATGTGAGAAAAGCTAGGGCACAGTTGTGTCTTATATTTTTGTTAAAATCTGCCTGTTAAGACTTCCTGATTGGGTAATGGGAATGATACAGTAAAATACTCTTCCTCAGAGTGTCTGACACCACTGTGATAATTTACTACATAAAAGTACAAGTTACATTATATAAAAAGAATGGCCTGGCTCAGTGGCTCACGCCTATAATCCCAGCACTTTGGGAGGCTGAGGCAGGTGGATCATCTGAGATCAGGAGTTCGGGACCAGCCTGGCCAAAAGGATGAAACCCTGTCTCTACTAAAAATACAAAAAATTAGCCAGGCATGGTGGCAGGCACCTGTAATCCCAGCTACTCAAGGGGCAGAGGCAGGAGAATCGCTTGAACCTGGGAGACGGAGGTTGCAGTGAACTGAGATCGTGCCACTGCACTCCAGCCTGGGCAACAAGAGTGGAAACTCCGTCCCCCCAAAAAAAATGACTCCAAGAAACTGAGGTTTCCAGATGAGGGTTACACAATGTGGATCTAAAAGCAACAGGGAAAGGAAAAGGATTTGGGCCTAGAATGTGGGGAATTTTAGATGCTGCAGAAAGCCTTCTGGTGTCTTTCTAGAATGGCTGGATTTTGGTTAAGGCAAAGAAGAAGTAACTTTTCATGGAGAACAGTAGCATACAGGAGTGCGGATGGTTTGATCATTTAAGGCAGGGATGTGAGGTTTGATGGAATATGTTGATAACAAAGATTCTTTGCTTGGCCAACTTTAGTCAGGCTTCTAAATCTTCAGCTAGGCTAAACTGTGCACTTCCTCGCAAAATCCAGCATTAGCAAAGAACACTGCCAAGTTTACCAAAGAACCCCTCATTCTCAATATCTGATCAGGTTCTTCATTCTTCACCATTCTGCAGGTGATGTCTGATCACCCTGGCCAGTCTTCAGCAAGAATTCTTTTAGGGCGGTTTAGCCAGAATCTCCCTTACTCCTGATGTTTCCTCTTAGTGATTTTCCATTCACTGACCCCTGCATTGCTCCTGGGCTATAAATTCCCACTTCCCCATGCTGTATTCAGAGTTAAGCCCATCTCTCTCCCTAGCTCCAAGACTGTGTTGCCGTGGTTCCTATATCTATGGTGATGGTCCTGAATAAAGTCTTCTTTACTGTGCATTTGAAGTATCACTGAATAATTTTTTATTTAACAACTATGGTGTTGAAACTCAACTAGGACAGATTCATCACTGGATCCTGGGCCTCTCACTCAGAACCCTAAATGCATGCCTTTGAAGTCTTTGTTGTCATTTCTGACTGATTAGGGATCCATTGGTGAATCAGATTCCTGAGCCATTGCTCCAGACAAAAGCCCGTTGATGGCTAAGGACAGATTTTGAATCTGAAGGGATGAATATTCTCTCTGAAGCTGGGGTAGAGTCCCAGGCTTCTTTTGAAAGCAATCCTCTGGGCAGGAAGGTCTTCGTGTGGGCTTCTTGTTCTGAGTGGTCTATTCTCTGAGTCCCTAGGCTAGAAGTCTCTTCTTTCTGGCTCTCTTTTTCTGAGTGAGGGGTTATTCCCTGATTCCCTGGGCTACAAATTGTTCTTCCTGGCTCTCTATAAAACCACTCTGCTCTTTCTCTTCTCTCTATTGGATCCTGCTTCTCCCATGGGAGCTCTGTCACCTGAAACCCCTCTTCTCAAGTCTCTGCTGACTATTTCCATAGCTGGTAGTCACGACGAGGAGACAACTGTGTAGGGTCAATATTTGGGCCAACCACCCTGAGGAACTGTGAGGGTTAGAACTGGAAATTGTCAAGAGAATCCGAACCCAGCTACCATATAAGAGAGTTCAACTTATGTTCAATGTGAATGCCATGGCAATATTAAAAGGTAAGAATTCAATCCATACGTGCTTGAGGTAAATAGGAGAAACCTAGAATTTATGTAAACAGTGAGAAGATTGGATGCGTTTTCCGTCTCATATTTTAATACTAGCAGCATATTATATATGTCAAACCATCAGGCATTCAGAAATACATGCTTATGAAAATTTTTTGCACCATCAGACAAAAGACAAGGGTAGAAGACATTTGTAACCCTATAAACACTAGTAAATTAAAAACAGAAGGACCTTAATGTCCTAACATACCTGTGTTGTGAAAGGCTGCCCTGTGAAATACCGGATTTCTTAAACATATTTTAAAAATCATAGGCGTCAATATTTTTTAGATATCCTTTTAAATTTTCTCTTGTTATTTTACATTGCCTATTTATTTATTTAGTGGCTCTGCTGATTTTGATGTATATCCAAAACTTTATATTTTCTTTAAAAGATGTTTTATACAACTTTACGTAAAATGTTTCTGTATCTTCACATTCTCTCCCTGTCCTTTTGTTTTGCTCTTATATGGTGGTCCTGAGTCTGTTCTCTGGCTTTTCAAGCCTAGTAAGACTAAGACACTAAGGTAACTTTGCCCGTGGTTTGGTAATGCCTTCTAAAGCACATCCTAAGCTCTCGTGCATACAGGGGTCTCCTTTGAGCTCTGTGCTTTTGAGATCCCATACACCTAAATTCCAGTACTCCAAATCAGTACTGCTCAGTTTTAGTGACTAAGTTTAAAAATGTATTTTAATAGCAAGTTAGTTTAGTGCCCTCTTGCTTCTTTCTTGACTGCTTGTATACATGTATATTCCTTTAAATGAATCTTGGAATTTATTTAGAAATATTAAATTATACTAATGAAACTGTATATTGTTGTGAATTCATAAGTGAATTTGGAAAGAATTTGTCTTTATGATGCTAAATCCTTTTTATCCAAGAATCATATGTGTCTTTATATTTATTCCAGTCTATATTTATATCACTGAGTAAATACATAGAAATGTGGATACATACAGCTGTAGTTACAGATACAAATATAGATATAGCCTGTTAAATCTATATCTATCCCATATAACATATATACATGTTATATGTGTGTGTTTATATATATATGTTTATGTCATTAAAGAGCTCCCTTAATATTTTTCTTTTATTTCCCATAAAATTTATGTCGAGCTTGAATTTTGCTTGTATAAACAAGTAAATATTTATACTAGTTTTAATACTGATGTTTAGACATTGTATCTTATTTTAGTGCTGAATATTTTCACAATTATTATAAATATCATCTAATAATAATAATGTACCTGATAAAAATATTTAAAATTTTACCTTTGAATTATTTTATTGTTGAATTAAAATTCCTTTAATATGATAGTCAATTTCTGTTTTATGCTTTCTCTATGCATATGCAAATTAATGTATCCTCTTCTCTGTCTCTATGTAGTAACATATGAAAATCAGGCCTCTCTTCTTCTAATGGACATACACATGTTTGCATATAGAATATCAGACTCTTTATAGCATTTAAAACCTTTAAAGACATGAATATTGCCTTTTAACAAACATATTTTAGCATGTACTGAGAATCCCCTATTTATTTTTAATTTGGGCTAATCAATACGATTATTAATATTACTGGATTACCAAATTTGGAAACACACTTTCATCCCGAAGGTGGATATTTGTTTTTTTTTTTTTTTTTGCCAATTTCTTGTCTTACTGTTTCAAATATTGTTGGATATTATTTGTATTTTATTTGGCATTTTAGTATCAACATTTGTAATTGAGGTACTCTACATATTTTTTCATCAATATCTGGTGGGTTTCATAGTTACTGCTATATTGGATTTGTAGTAGACATTGACAAAAATTATTCCTGTATGTTTTATAGCTGTATGAAGGAAACTAATATATTTTACCCCTAAATATATTTCCTTGATATATTTCAAAATGGCTATTGAGAAGGGCTGGAAAAGCAATGTTAGCTGCAAAGCTGTCTTGGGGAGATTTGCATCGGTAGAGAATCTGCCCTGATGCAGCCAGGTTTTCTCTGAGGTCTGCCCCCTTGTCTGGATCTAGGAAAGGTTAACTGAGAGGCTAAGTCTCCAAAGGTCTGAAAGAAACATTTTCTTTCTATTCTCTCTGAGGACTACTCCCAGTGAGGTTCCACCTATATAATAAGTCCACTGTTGCTAGCCAGGGTCGTTTTCTCACATAACCTTTTTCTTTCTTTTCCCTGTGATCCAAGACCCCATTTTTCTGTAAACTTCATGTGGTAGATAAGCTTCTGCACGCATCGTGTGACTGGGTCTTCGTTCTAAGGGTTCCAGTGTACACACATTACAGAAACCTGCATGCCTTTTCTACTCTTTATCTGCCTCCTATTAGTGATTTTCAGGGAGACTTCAGAAGACAAAAGGGACATTCTCCTTTAGCCTATTCTCAGACCAATTCCCCCAACATTTAACTGATTCCTAATAGCTTAAAATCACTTTGAAAAATCCATATATTTATAACCTTTTCTTCCCTCTATGATTTCTGGTCAGCTTGGGTTTTGTTTTTCATTCCATTTACTTCATCCTCGAAAAGATCTATTTTATGTCTATTTATTCTCATTTATGGACATTGAGAAAAGAAAATAACTTTCATGTGAGAAATGCAAGTCCTTTGAAATAATCAGGCCCAGAGAGATATTCAAATGACACAGCAGTTCTGTCCTGCTCCTCTTTGAGCTGTGTGTTCATCTAGGCTGCTTGCTGTTGCCACAGTAGCTATAAATTAACCAATAAGGCCACACCAGACACTATAATCCACACCCCATAATAGTGTAACAGTGTGTAGCCAGTCACTAATAAATGTTATTTCCATAAGCCAATGAGAATTTGTGACAAACCTCTTTGCGTCATCACACTTCTGGACCCTTTTTTGCCTTTAAGTAACTGCTTGTTGCAAAGCTCCAAAGGGAGTTCACATCCAAGGATATTTGGGTCTGTTTCTTCCAGGCAGCTGTCCTCACTGTGGCTCAAGTAAACTCTTTGAATTACATTTTGTGCTTCAGCTCCTTCCACTTAGATTAACAACATGGATTTGTGTCACCATGTACAGCAATTAAAATGTTTACACTTTTCCCCTCGAGAGCACTGATGTGTTTTCCTGAGCACTTGGAATAGCTACGTAGTGTTTCCTGTCTAGATTATGGTTTCTCAACCTTGGTGCTACTTACCTTTAGGACCAGAGGATTCTTTGTTGTGGGAGGCTGCCCTAGCAATGATAGGTGTTTCGTTTGACCTCTAAATTTCACACCTCCACCAGTCTTGACATCCCCACGATAACCCTAGACATTGACAAATGTCTCCTGGGGAAAACTCTCCACCAGTTGACAGGTAAAGTTCTGGAAATATTGGATTTGTCAATTGAGATTTTATGTTATCCAAAACAAATATTTTTCTTTGTTCTTAAACATCTACTTCCATCTACTTATCTACTTATTTTTACTTTTATTTGTAACTTAATTCCATCAAGGAGAGAGAGTGCATTTTCTGTTATGCTAAATTTTTGAAGAATGTATTGATATTTTATGACCTGATATATGGATGATATATAGATATTACATGTTTGTATTATCAAATTTCAGGGTGATAATAAAATAAATACTTATAATATTTATATTGTCACTGTATATTAGTTATTTTCTTTCTTCACTACAGGAGTTTTTCAACCTATAGGCTATGTTTCAATTCTAGGTTATCCAGTAGATTTTGAAATGTTATGATTAAATATCTACTTCTCAAGCATTCATCTTTGCAAATGAAACAATCCTAAGCTCTTATAATACACATCATATAAAGGGCAGATTAGTCAATGTATGGTTCAGAAATAATTAAGTAATATTTATAAGAAAATTAAAAATTTATATCCTTAACTCAGATAACAATAATCCAAATTAAAATTTGATTTCATTACATAATTTAAAATGACATCAGAATGCTAGTAAAAATTATACAAAAAATTTATGTAATCTTATTAAGCTGTGGGACTTTATTAGCATAAATTCAAATACAGGAACCAAAGTAAGATTGAGACCTATAGTCAAAGGTTAAAATGTACACATTATAGGGGCATGATTAAACTAATTTAAAGCATAATAACATGGAGAAATATTGCAAAACATACATTTTACTGAATTAATTGTTAGTATCTAATCATTTTGTGAGAACCAAATTAAAAAGTAGCTACACACGCACACACCCACACACAAGTGCAATACTGTCAAATAAACGATGTTCAGCTACACTAGAAATCACACCTGTGTTTTCTCCACAGAAAAGATTAAAAATCGCAATAATTTTTATTGTACATATGGAGGTAAAGATACTCAAAATATTACCCTAAAATACATTATTTTTTTGAGATGGAGTTTTGTTTTTATTGCCCAGGCTAGAGTGCAATGGCACAATCTTGGCTCACTGCAACTTCAGCCTCCCAGGGTCAGGTAATTCTCCTAGCTCGGCCTCCCAAGTAGCTGAGATTACAGGCATGCACCACCACACTCGGCTAATTTTTTGTATTTAGTAGAGACGGCGTTTCACCATGTTGGTCAGGCTGGTCTCCAACTCCTGACTTCAGGTGATCTACCCACTTCAGCCTCCCAAAGTGCTGGGATTACAGGCATGCGCCTGGCCAGCTTTTTGACATATTTCACGATGGCTACTCGGAAGACTGGAGATAGCTTCTTCTACAAGAATAGCTGAAAAGCTGTGTTTGTTGGGGAGATTTGCATTTGTAGAGAAAATCTGCATTGATATAGACAGGCTTTCCCTGAGATACTCCCTTGTCTGGGTATAGGAATGATTAACTGAGCCTGGCACGTTTACATTTCTAAAAGCCATTTCCTATCTATACTTCCCAAGAGGAGGGCTGCTCCCTGTGAGGTTTCATCCATGTAACAAGACCACCTCTGCTGCCAGGCTCCTCTTTCTTCCTTGTCGTCACCTGTCTTCCACAAAGCCTGATTTACCAACCTACAGCTCTGTGTTTTCTGCAACCTCAAGACAGCATAGGCGTGTTGACTACCTTGCCTTTCCTGGAGTTTTTATATAAAGAGTATATATTTGTATATCTCTTTATAATATACAAATATTTGTATAGATATAATATATATATTATGTAAACTCCAAGTGCATACTTGTGCACATATCTGTAAACCTTTTTTTCCTGTTAATTTGTACATTATCAGTTTGTTTTATAGACTCAAATAATTAAAGCTTCAAGGGAAAAATTTAAATTTTCCTATAGAGAAAAGACAAATATATAGGTGACAAATAATATTTAGAGTGTAAGACGCTTTTTAAAGGTATATTTGCAATTTGTGTCAAAACATTGAAATGTACATTTGTTATTTTAACAATAAAATTTCAATTAATTTAAGCCAAATACATAGTATATGCAGAAAATTTAGCAATATATCTATGTAGCACCTTACTGTGCATTATTGTAACCAGCCGTCTAATATAAAGAATTAAGGTAGCAGCTGCTTTCCAAATAGCGCATTTTTTTCACAGACCTATTAAATAAGACAAATAACATTTAAACTTTATTTTTAAATTTGCAGAATAGCAGTTTTCAGCAGATGGTTTATTTTAGCAAATTCCATCTTCACATTGTGCTATGCTTTTATGAGTTCCAGCTGTTAACGGATACTATTTTACTGCTGAAACTATCCTGTGTGATATAATTGCTCATTATGTGCCTTAAAACACAAGCAATATAATTATTTTCAACTTGGAGCAAATTAAAATCTTATCAGCAATTTAAAATCTCTAGAGTCATCTTCTTCTGGTTAATTATTTTAAACTTGTATTTTTCTCTTTATGTTTTTAGTGAGTTCTCTTATCAAGGAGAAGATCTCAAGGTGATTATTCTTTTTTTTCTCTTCCATGCACCTCGCAGGTGTGTTAATAATTTCATTTCTCAGAAAATATTCTTTCATATCTATCTTACAAGATGAGAGACCTTTTAATATCTTCCATTCGGATGTGATACCAGTAATGGAACATATTCCAGCTTCATGAATATGGTGATACAAATAGTTATTCATCTAACCTCTTTCAGTGCCAAATGTTTACTATACTCAGTGAGTTACTCAGTTGACTGGTAATTTCTTCTGAAATCACTAATGAGAGGATCAGAGGTCTGGCTGTTGTCTGTACCTCATATGACTCCCAGTGCAGACAATGGTTTCTATGGAGCACAGACAGTTGAAAGGATTGACTTCCTGCCTAGAATAGTTTCTGCTGTGCTTCTTATCCTTCTTGTGGAGATTTCAGATTACCTGAATTGCTTTTCTATCTTAAGAAAAAACGCAACAATTCTCCCACCTGAGAGGAATGTAAACTGAAGTAAGTTAACAGAACCAATCCATAAAGTTTTTACATTGTTTGTTGCAAAATGCAGCGCTGGTGTCTCCATCACTAACCTTTTCTATCCCTCATTGCTCTTTCTTTGACTGCAATAGGATACCTCTATGCAAATCTGTATTCCCGAGACTGAGTGCCCTTTTGGTGAGCTATAAGCACACTCAATGGTAGGCTGAAATACTAGTTTTTATCTATGGCGAAATGGAATCATATCAGTGAATTTTTTAAAAAGGAAATTTAACTCTTGCTATGGTTTGAATGCTTGCCCCTTCCAATCTCATGTTAAAATTTGATCCCCAATGTTGCAGGTGGGGCTCACTGGGAGGTGTTTGGTCATGGGGTTGGACCTTCATGAATGGATAAAACTCTCCCTTAGAAATCTAAAGCTATCCTCCCTCCTCGGTGCCCTCAGGAATGAGTGTACCATTCCTTATTCACCTATGATTACCCCACCCATCCTTTTTGAGATATTGACTACATGTATGTTACACTGATGCACATTGTCTGACCTATGAGTGAGTTTCTGGTTTTCTTATTTCAGTTTACCGTTTGTCCTTTAGTTTGTAATGCTTCCAATTTGTTCTATAAATGTTCTGATGTTAGGGTAAAATCCATTACTTATTCTATCTCATGGAATTTTTATTTCAAGTATTTATTTTTCATCTATATATGTCACATTTTTCATTTTATAACTTTTATTTTTCTCCTATATTTAATTTTCATTTAAGTACCTTGACATATATATGTATTTATCTATATGTATTTATAAAATATATTTACTTTAAGGATCTTGAAATTTCCTTCTTGTCTGTCATTTATAAATGACTTATTTTTATCCTGTTAATATATATTTTAATTATATATGTCTTACAGCTTCTTTGCATTTCAGAGTTTTTTTTTTTGGGTATTTTGATGTTATGCTATTGAATATCTAGATTTTATTGGCTACCTTTGAATAATGTTGTGACAGGCAGTTCAGTAACTTCAGGATGAGTATTTGTCTGTTGTTTTAAATCTTCTCTTTAAACTTTGTTGAGTTAGTCTAGAGCCATCTGTAATTTGGAGCTAAATGAGCACTGTCACTAGGGCATGGACCTCCAGTGGTCTTTACTGAATATCCTGGAGGTACAGAGGGGATTCCCTTCTCTGATTAGAATTTGGAATATAAAGAGAAAAGAGAAAAATAGAAAGCTATGCATAAACACGTGCATTAAAATGAATTTTATGTGGGCTTTTTCATGAAAATGTTCCTAAGGTATTTTATTTTTTTATTGTGGTAAAATACACATAACATAAAATGTACTCTGTTAACCATTTTAAGTGTACAGTTCAGTGGTACTAAATATAGTCATAACATTGTCCAGCCGTCCCTACCATCCATCTCCATAATTCGTTTCATCTTGTAAAACTGAAACTCTATACCCATTAAACAATACTTCCCCATTTCCTCCTCCCCCCAGCTTCTGGCAACCATCATCGTACCATCTCTATAATGCTAATCAAGCATAGTGGCTGTGTTTCTTGCTTCCTCTAGTCCGCAGGCAGCATACAAATGTAATAAACTACTTATTCATGTCGCATCTATTTATTTTCTGCCTTATACCAAGCTTGTGGGTTTCTCTTAAATACAACATTTTTATACTTACACCTATGCAATACCCATTAGCATCGCCTTCCTAAATCAGGGGAAATTGAGCTTCTGTCAGGTGGAGTAACTTCCTAAGATATAAAACTCAGCATTGAAGTCTGTATACTTCAATATCCTGCCCTCTTCTCATGTGTCTTTACTGCCTTTTATGTATGTGTTAGATGTTCAACAAATTCTCTTTTTTAAACTGAATTTAAGCCGTGGAGCAGTGTTTTGTTGAACAATAAATATGATATAGGACACTCTTCCTCCTTTTCATGTATGATCCTGTTCATGAAAAAGAGAAATTCTTTCATTGTGCTAGAAGCTTAAAATAATGAAAATGCCACTTTCTACATTAAACAGAAACTGAAGGGAATCAAGGTGAATTGCATGAGACATAGAAAACAAGTGGGAAAGAAATCTAGTATAATTTGCCCTTTGTGTACCTTTATTATTTAGCGTTTGAGTAAATGATTCCCCCAAATATCTTCCCATCTCAATTCATGTCTATAAAGTAGACGTTTATGTCTCACCTTGTCAAGAAGAGCAAAGTCTAACATAAACATTTCCCAAAAATGCTTCCTGCTAAAACGTAAGCTCAGTCTGGCTAGAAATGCAGCTCACTTCCTAAAGATTAATTGGTAGCTAATTTTGCATGCTGTTCTCTGAACTTGAGTGTAACCTGTCCGTCAGGCATACAGGGAATGACGGGAAAGGTGACAACAGAAGATGAATGCTATGTCACTAACCTTCAAAGATGACCTGCCTTTTCTTTCAAATTCTTGATATCTTAAGACTTCATTAATTCATCTCTCTTTTCCCTTGGTTCAACATTTTGCTATACCAAAACTCATGTGAGACAATGACCTAATGTAATAAAAATGGCATTTTTCTTTCATGTAGTTGCAAGCTAACTGGCATTTTTACAATCCACATATTTCCTTTGTCAGTTTTTCATTCTGTATTGGAAGTAATTGATGGGTATTTCTGAAGGGATGAAGGTGTTTCTGTGTTCATTGTGATCCAAACTATTTCTAGACCTAGGGGCCTTTGTAAACAATTTGTGCCCACTGACCAAAGATCACTGTGGCAGAAAGCAGCAAACTTGCATAAGATGTCACTGCTTCATAGGTTGGCTTTGAAAACTAGGGGCTTACTCTATACTCTTATGAATAAAAGACATTGATAGATGTAGTATAAGATTACAATCATATTTTCCTTTTGACAGTCACATTATAAATCAAGATGTATTGCAATTAATCTCAATTAGCTGATCACAATTAAAATTAATAATGTTTATTATTGCTGATAAAAATCATGTCTCTCCTGTTCTCAAATGTGCAAGTAATTCTTGTAATTTTAATACAAATTTGCATATTATTATTAATTGATTTAATCTCATTGGATTTGGTTCATGGATCCAATTTATTAAAATATTGATAATGGGATAATGAGTTGTCTCCCCATTTCATGTACACTAAAAACAACATTTCTTACAATGGTCTGCAAGCCCATCATCATCTGCCTCATGTTAACCGCCAAAATTCTTTTATATCTTCACCCTTGATCTTACCAGTGGTCCTGGCCACCTCACTGTCCTCTGGACATACCAACATGCTGCTGCCTTACGATCAAGACTCTAGTTAATTTTTTGGCTTGGAAAGATAGCCCTCCATATATCCATTGATCAGCTCATTCAACTTCCTCAGGTCTTTACTGAAACTTCACATTCTCGATGAGGCCTATTCAGTATTTCAAACTGCATCCCAGCTGCAACATTCCAAAACCCCTTACTCTTCTGTGTATTTTTGAAAGGATTTATTGAGATATAATTTACATAGTGTAGAGTGCACACATTAATGTCTACAAGTCAGTGGCTTTTAGTATATGCACAGATAAGTGGAGCCACCATCACAATGAATTTTAGAGCATTTTCATCACTTCAAAAAGAAACCCCACCTTCCCTAGCTGTTAACCTCCTATGCACCCATCCCCTACTCAATCCTAAGCAACCACAAATCTGTTTTCTGTCTCTATAGATTTTCCTATTCTGTTTTCATCTAAATAGAATCGTACAATAGGTGGCCTTTTCTGCCCGGCTTCGTTCAGTTGGCATAATGCTATCAAGGTTCATGTACGTATTGGTACTTTATTTCTTTTTATAACTCTATAACATTCAATTTCATGGATATAACATTTTGTTTATCCAATAGTATTTTTATTGACATTTGAGTTGTGTTCAGCCTTTGGCTATTTTAGGTACTGCTGCTAAAAATACTTGTGTACAATTTGTGTTTGAACACCTCTTTCCAATAATCTGGGTGTATACCTAGGAATAAATTTCTGGGTCATATGACAATTCTATGTTTCATATATTTAGAAGCCATCAAATTATTTTCCAAAGTGGCCAGTTCTAGCCATAGAGTATCTAACTGTGGTTTTGATTTGTAGTTGCCTGAAGAGTGATGCTGTTGAGTATATTTTTATGTGATTATTGACCGTTCATGTATCTTCTTGGGAAACACATCTATTCCTATCATTTATCAGTTTTGAGTTGGGATATTTGTGACGGAGTTAAACCAATTTTTCTATATTCAAGATACATATATATATACAGACATATAGATACGTGTTTTTCAAATATCTTCTCACAATTTTGGAGCTGCCTTTTGACTTGCTTGGTTGTCCTCTGAAACACCGATGTCTTTAATTTTTAAGAAATTTTAAATATCTAATTTTTATTCTGTTGCTCATGTTTTTGGGGTTACAGCTATTTCTTTGCTAGATCCAAAATCCTGAAGATTTTCCCATATGCTTTATTCTACCTCTTGCATGTGTGTCTTTAATTCATTTGAGTTAATATTTTTGTATGCTTTGGGGTAAGGGTTCTAATTTATTATTTTGCAAGTGGTGATCCACGTGTACGTTGTTGACCCAGTGTGTTCAAAGACTGTCTCTTCCTCATTGAATTGCACATGGCACCACTTTAAGAATCCATTGACTGTAGACACATAGTTTTATATATGGACTCTCAATTCTCTTCCATCAATCTATATATTTTTCCTTCATCAATATTGTGTTGTCTTGATTACTGATACTTTGCAGTAAGGTTTGGAGCATGGGGTGTGAATTATCCTAATATGTTTTCTTTCTTCAAGATTATTTTGGCTATTTTGAGTCCCTTACAATTTCATGTGTATTTTAGAATCAGCTTGTCAGTTTCTAGACACAAGTCTGTTGGGATACTTGCAGGGATTTCATCAAATCTGTAGTTCAAATTGTAAAGTACTACAATATCAAATCGTCCAATTCATGGGTGTAAGGTGTTTACTAATTATTTAAATATTCTTTAAACAATAATTTTTAATTTTCAGAGTAAAATCTTGTATCACATTTTCCAAATTAATTAATATTTCTTTTTTTATGCTATTTTAAATTGAAGTGTTTTCTTAAATTCATTTTGGGGTTTTCATTGAAGATGTGTGTAATTGATTTTTGTACATTTACCTTGTCTGCTGTAATATTGCTGAAATAATTTACGAGTTCTATCGTTCGGTGGATTCCTTAAAATTTTCTATATACAACAATGTTATTTTCAAATAAAGTTTTATTTCTTCCTGTTCATTATGGGTGACTCTTATTATTTTAGTTGCCGATTTGCCCTGCATAAAATCTTTAGTACAGTGTTGACTAGAAGAGGTCAAAGTATATATCCTATTCTTATCTCTGACCATAGCGGGAAAGCATCCTTTACCATTAAGTTGCCTGCTTGCTGTTGGCTTTTCACAGGTGCCATGTATCTGGTGTAGAAAGTTCTCTATTCCTGGTTCATTGAGTTTTTATTTTTATTTTTAATCATTAAAGCTTTTGGATTCTGTTAAATGTGTTTTCCGAATCTATCGAGATGATCATGAATTCTCTTTTCTTATTCTATGGATAAGATGTATTACCTTAATGGATTTTGGGCTGTTAAACCAACCTGGGATTACTTGTATAAATTTCACTTTGTCATAGTGTATAATTCTTTTATATGTTGCTAGATCTGATTTGTTAGTATTTTTTAAGGAATTTTGCATTTATACTTATAGTAGTTTTATTTTTCTATGCTATTTGGACTAATTTTTGTATCAAAGTAACACTGGCCCCACAGAATAAATTGGAAAGTGAATATTTCTCTTTTTTAAAAAAGCTAGTCAAGAATTAATATCAATTATTCAACACTAACAAATATTATTATTATAAATTATTAATTTCTCTAATTTTAATTTTCTTCCTTCTGCTTGCTTTAGGTTTAGTTTGCTATTCGTTCCAGTGCCTTAATGTGGAACGTCATCTTATCTCATCCTTTCCTTTGTCTTTTCATTTTGTAAATAGTGTCTTCTTAGCATCAGGTGAGCTCCCCAGGTTGGTAGTACTCCATGTTTGTTGCTGTACAACAATGACAGGTAATATGTCCTGAAGACAATGGAAACTTAACCTTCAAAATCTCCTAGATTCCACCTTATATGATATGTCTCTTCTATTGGTCCTAATTTCTACCCTTTCTCTATTATAAACCATGAGTACAATGGCATTCAATGAGTTCTGTGAGTCTTTCTAGTAAATTCTTGAAACTGAGGGTGTTCAGGGGAAATCCCTGAACTGGCAGTTGGTGTCAGAAGTGAGAATCTTCTTACATGGCCTCTTCCTTTGAACTGTGCAGCTGGACGCAAACTCTGCACAATTTGGGCCAGAACTCTCGTGTTGACTTTGTAGCCTAAAGTATCTTGTAGTTTGTCTAACCCTCAATAAATTTGCTTTCATCAAATATTGTATTTGTTACCCCAAAATTACCATCACGTTTTTTTTTCTCCAAATAACTAACATAGGAGAAATAGCCAGCTGAGTTTGTAACTCAACAGAAATAAGTGATCCATATACCATATACCATATAAGTGGCCATTTCATTTTGCCTTCTTCCACCAAATCTTAGCAACCTCAACCATTACCAAGAGCCACTGTAGGCCTACCAGCTACAAACAAACGAGTATCTTGTAAAAACACTTCATACTCCCATTTGATAATTTTCCCAGCAAAGAGATGCCTACTTTAACTCTATGCAAGTGGCTCATATTCACGAAGTCTGTAGATATTATTCATGTAGAGTGAGAAAATCATCCCAGCGGTGCCAGCACATTCTCCTTCCCATGATCTGCTTAGTTTGCAAACATATTCAGGCCATGGGTGAGAGATTTGTATTTCACAGTACAACAATTTTATGGAGGGCATTGAAACTTACATTGAGCATTTTAGTACAGTCACACATCACTGAATGATAGGGATACGTTTTAACAGATGTATTCGTAGGCAATTTTACCATTTTGCAAACATCACAGAGAGTATTACAAACACCTAGATTGTACAGCCTACCACGTTTAGGTTATATGGTATAGCCTCTTTCTCCCAGGCTACAAATCTGTGTACTACATTACTGTACTGAATACTGCAGGCAATAAGAACACAGTGGTAAGAGGTTATGTATCTAAACATAATTAAACGTAGAAAAGTATGTAAAAATATCTATTATAAACTCATGGGACCACTTTTGTATATGTAATCCATCTTTGACTAAAATGTTATTATGCATGACATGACTCTATGACAAAAATAAAATAACACATTGTAAAAAAATATACACAGGTATCAAACATATTAATATTGTAAAAATAAAAATATTTATTCAGTGTAAGAATTTGTAATGATCACAAAATGTTCACAGCTTATATTTTAGTACAGTTTCAAATGCCTAGTGCAATTGCTATTTATTTCTGTGTGTATTTTAAACATGCATATAATAAATATTTTTCAGGTTCAACAATATATATCAATCCAACTGGCTCTTATAAATATTAGTTAACATCAATTGGTAAATTCATATATATATATACACACACGTGACTCAGTCTGTATGCGTGTATGTGTGTGTAAATGTAACTGTATGTGTGTGTAAATGTAACTGGATGCATCCTAATATTTACCCTTACCTACAAGATTTCCAAGACTCATTTATTCTCTTTAAATGGTGTGCCTTGAAAGATTTACCAAATAAAACCGCAATCGTGGAATATATCAAGATGTTATTAAATTCATCTTGTGCACATAATTGTTTCTTTAAATTTATGTTTCTTGCAAAACTTGCGGTAATGCTCATGCACAAAATAATTTTCTAAATAAAAAATAAAAACATTTTCTCAGTCATTAATTCTTAAAAATTATTTCTCCCCAGTAATTAATGTGAATTAATTCTTAATTCTTAATTATAGAATAATGTTGCCCTTCAGAGTTCTGAATCTTTTGCACGTTGTATACATTTCACTGACTGGAACATCTTCTGGAATATTGGCATTAATTAATCTCACTCAGCAATTAATGATTTCAAAGAAATTAAATACCATTCATATTCTGAATCACAAGGGTACTTTGGCACCTAATTTAATCAAGCTCTTTGTATCATCATCTACAGTTTAATTACTTAACAAACATTTCTTTGTGTGAGAAAGATTGAGCAGGTTATTGTGCTTTTCGTTGTATACATTTCACTAAGTAGAACATCTTCTGGAATATTGGCATTAATTAATCTCACTCAGCAATTAATGATTTCAAAGAAATTAAATACCATTCATATTCTGAATCACAAGGGTACTTTGGCATCTAATTTAATCAAGCTCTTTGTATCAACATCTACACTTTAATTACTTAACAAACATTTCTCTGTGTGAGAAAGATTGAGCAGGTTATTGTGCTTTTTTATGATGCAACTTTTGCTTAATCTAGAGATAGGCAATGCTCCCTATAAGGGACAAAGAGAAAAATGAAAGAGCAATAGAGATGTGACAGGCATGGAAAAAGACAATACATTTATAAAACAAATAGGGCCACAGATGATGATAATGGGGATCAAATCTTGAGATACTGACTCAGTTTATAACCGCACTGTACAATAGAGCAAATCATTTGTTAATTATTTTACAAATGGAATCTAATTTAACTAAGATGAATACAGTGTTTTAAACAAGGCAGGTCATCTTAAAATAAAATAGTGGGAAAAGTGATAAAACCAATGTAAAAATCATAAACATTTTATAAAGAATTTTTGTCATGTAATTTAATATTTTTCTTTATTTAAAATCACCCAAATCAAAATAATTTTATCTTAATTAACAAATAATCATCGGAAGTTAACTAATTTTTACTTTATAATACTAGGTTTAAAAATTCTTCACTATATTTTTAATCATACATGCTTATACATAAAATAGACATAGGGTATATGTTTACATGTTCACAATATTATATTGTAATTGTTCCTATGGATGTGGTTTTTCAATAGAATTAATAAGTACTTTTAAAAAGTTTCAATTTCAATGATATATATGTTTGATTTTTCTTTGACAAAGCATACATATATTGATAGGTAATAATAAGAAAATCTTCTAAAGACATTACAGGAACATGAATAAGTAATTAAATCCTCAATAATTTGTAACGTTTTATGTAAGCGGAACACATTTAACTGAAAATTGCTTTTATATAATACTCAAACGAGACTAAAAACATATTAACTAGCGGAGTAAGTCTTCAAATTGATAATCTGAACTATAGAAGAGGAGAAACTTCAAGCACTCAAATATTTGAAATGCTACAAAATATTTATATAAACTATTATTTAACAATTTCTGTTTGTAGAGTGCTATAGAGTAATCGATGTAAATGACATCTCAGTCTTTCTATAGCTTTGACCACATTTACCTCCTAATTTTAATTATTAATATGTTGGAGCAGTGCATACAACTAGATTCCGATCTTCCTTTTTAATGAGTAAAAATATGTCCTTTGAGACAGCATTAAAGAAAGAGCACCTTGTATAAATTCAATGCCAAGAGACAAGATATTCTTGATGCTGAAGTCTTGTTCTTTTATACAGCAATGTAATTAATAAGAAGAAGAAAAGCAGGACATAGAGATGGAGTCTATTTTCATCAAAAATTGTCTATAGATTTTGATGATAAAATTTAAAACTCTACTATATTTAGTTAGTCACAAAAAACGAGGTTGTGGGAACATATTTGGTCAATAAAACACCCCTACCAAATGCCGACAAGAAAAAAAGTTAGGTACCACCTTTCTTCTCTGCAGATGGCCTGAGATGGGTTAATTTGAAAGAATGCTTCCAAACCTGAGGTGACCCCTGAGAACAGCATAATCCACTGCTGTCTCCCACATTCAGTTTCTCAGTCTGTGCTCTTTTAATTTTGGGGGGAGGGAAGCCAGTCCTTTAAAGCGATCTTCAGCATGATGGCAGAGCCAAGGAGTGTGGACAGGTGGCACGGTGTCTGATTTTGTTCCAGCAGCCACTTGGGCTTTCTCTGGGTCTTCTCTGCCCTCGGGATAGCACTACTATTGAAAACATGTCTTTGTGACATTCTCTATGCCAGGAACTCCCAACATATTTTCCTTGAAACTGATGAAATGAAAAAAAATAAACCAAGAGGTGTGCTGTTTGTTTCTGTTTCCTCCTTTCTGCAGCCCTTCTTGATCATCTAATATTTTTAAATACATTGTCGATCACCAAAAGGAGCATAAGGGCTTTATTGGTTTGTAGCAGATGTATTCATAGCCCAGCCCCTATTCCTTAGCTGTAGCTGCTGGGAAGAAAACCATTCTTAACACTCTACAAGGTCTCATCTCCAGAATTTGCACCAGTTTCTAGCTGAGGACTTTCTCTAGCAGCACGGGAGCTTGTTACTGGGCATGAAGTGGGAAGAAAAGGTGAGGGTAACTAAGAAGAATCTCCCTGGATTCAGTGATGTAATTCTGAGGCATGCTCCACATAGCTTCCCATAAAATTAAGCCCAGATATCTAACACAGGAACTTACCTCTTAACACGTGTGGTATTGGCTTTTCTGTCTTTCCTGTTTTATTTTGTTCTCTTTTCCTTGTCTCACTTTCGCTGTGTCCTCACTCCTGCTTTAAGAATACCCAAACAAATACGTTCATTTATTTTTTTAGACTCTCAGAACACAGTTGATAGTTGAACTTGTAATCTATGATAATCAGCTTGGATGCTGTATTGACAGGAAGATGGTGAACTCACAATGTCTAATTAAGATACAATTTAAAAAATATATTGAATCATGTCCAAAGACTTAAAAAGCCTAAGCGGCAGCGTCACAGTTTCTTCTTTTTAGTTTGCATGGTTTCTTAAATGCCTACAATTATTTTAAAGGAAGCCTTGAGTCTAGGAAAAATTGAGACATATGGAATAAATTACTAACCCATTTCTCCTTGAAATCCATTAGATGTTTGATGATTCTTCACATATATTTCTGAACTGAAAAGCTAGTTGGGAATTATTTTTATAAGCATATCCTTATGTAATATATTGTTTCTAAGAGTGAATGGAAGGTTTAAAGATTAAATTATTCTATCCAGAGAATAAAAAACAATTATTTCACAAGGAGAACATGTGTATGTTGACACGACATTTTAAAATCTAGATTTTAAAATAGGTCCCATATAATTTTGAGTCAATTAGAATACGTTTGTATCAGTCTGTCTACAGTTTTACACCTGTCAAATGTTACTTGAACTAAAAGAAGTACCTTGAACAATTTTGAAATTTATTATTCCTCTGAAACTGATGAAAAGAATGACGGTAGAGTGAAATTTGGATTGGCATAATTTAGGAGAGAAATTATTCCTTGGAGATCAACCTCTGCCAAGATAGTTTACAATGACATTGATACTTTTTGATTTACACAATTTGTTATATAAAAAATACTAAGACGATGACAGATAATACACAGACTTTAATTAAAATTGTACTAAAATTAAAAGTCTAAATAAATTACAAGTGTACGTGGTACACCTAAACGTATGTTTATATATTTTATTTGTGCATTTTATTCCTAGGGTTCCTTTTGCTTTAGTTTGTAAAACGTTCTTATTTTTATGGCAGTGTAGTATATACTAAATAAAGAAAAATCAGGAAATAGAAAATGAAGAAGAAAACATTAGCTATTGTCAACCAAATAAAAATTGTGCAATCTCTAAGTACATGAACGATGTATTATTTGTACAGCATGTACAATGTTTATGCTTCACAGGGTGAGGTAGAGACTGCAAAACATTGAACCTGGGACAAATAAGAAAGAAAGGAAATTTTCACAATATATTAATATTACAGAAAATGTTGAACTTAACAGTTAAGATACAAGTAGTGAAAAATGATAGTATTTAAGGAGATCTAGAAAATGTCATCCATACCAGTAATGTGTGAGAAGTATTAGAATAATGCTTGTATTTCTGGATTGGCATCGATTTCTATTGAGACTGGAAACATACTAGAAGTGAGCAAAAAAGAATTTAAATAGTGGATACTTGAGTTTTATACCTAGGAGTTCGAGAAATACATTTTGTTACTATCAAAGCAGTTGGCACAAGAGTGTACAAAATTCCCTAATTGTGTCTATGTGGTGAAGACATAGACAAACAGAAAATAGCAAAACAGAAATAGCAAAAAAGCACAAATAAATTTTACCTGTATTTTTACGTAAAAGCCAATTAGAGTAGGAAAACATGAAATTTGTGTTTTATCGAAATTTTTCTCTTATAGTATGGTTGATTATATTACTGGAAAAAAATTGAAGCATTGGTATGTTCACAAAAAAAAGTAAAAGATAAGGTCAAAACCATGGGAATGCAGGGAGCAGACAAAATACACCTAAACACTGATACTGATTTTGCCCTACGGACATGTAGCAAAATGAATGAGTGCAGATTCCTATGGTCATACATCACATAGGACAGTAAAGAAATACATAGTGTTTCCCAAGATAGGGCATCACACAGGAGCTCTTCCCTAAAGCTAGCACCAAAATTTATCTCCTCAGTATAAAGAAGAATCAGAGGTAAATTAGTCTCATTTCACATTCCCTGGAAATGGCAAATAAAAATGACTTGAGATTGGACAGATTTAAAGAAACTCAATCATTAATGATTTACAGCAATTAATTTAAAAATTGTTTAAATGTGCTGTCCAAACATACGTCCAAACACCTTTAGGCCAAGAATTAATATAATGTGGTCCCAGAATGGTGGTGCCTTTAGTAGACTCACAAAAAATTCAAATTCTCTTTGGCAAATTTTCTTCTTACTAATATGCAAAAGTGCACAATAATAATTTTCAGAGAAAAATAAATCTTTGTCATTCAAAGGCATCTAAGTACGCAAGGAAATGATATTCCACCATTTGAAAGGAAAGCAGAAAAAGAGTACAAACAGATCCACAGAGGTTCATTAGTAGAAATATCACTGTTAGATTATAAAGCACATTTGCTTTCAAAAAATTTAAAAAAAGGAATATATTTTTAGGAGACTAAAAAGTTGATGTAGTAAATTTGAAAAGTAGTTTGTATATAGTATTTTAAATTAAAAACTCAAAAATGAACTCATCAGTTTAGACATGGCCATGGTGAGAGCTCATAAATATTTCAGAATGCATTACAGAAAATTTAAAAAAAGGCACAATGTGGACAGAATCATGAAGAGACATGGAAGATACAGTGAGAAAGTGTAGCATGTGTTTAGTGTGTGTTCTCATAGAGGAAGGGAACGGGGAAGGGACAATATGTGATGGTATTTTGGCTGAAAGTTCTCCAGAGTTTTGTAAGACACTAATCCACATATTCAAAACTTCTATGCATGCTAAGCAAGCTACGATGGAGATAAACCTACATCTACATATCTCCTAGAGAAATAGTAAACAATCAGGAAGGGAAAAATATTTCAATTAGCACTAGAAAAATCAAATTACCTTTAATCATATTGAAATCTGAAAGCATGAAATGTAAAATAAACAATATTATTTGTTAAGAATAATAATGCCATTCTGAAATTCTCAACCAAGAAAAATATTCATCAACCTATGGCTAAATCACATATTTAGAGACAAAAAACAAAACACCACCAGCAGAATTCCACTAAAGAAACTCAAAGGAAACTCTGAAAACACGCTTCAGAAAGATTGAAGTTCTGAAATCAAAGAATGAACACAGAGCAAAATATATTGTAAACATAAAGATAGATCAAAATAGAAAATTAGGTGTTGAAACAAAAGAATATTTAAAATTAGATAAGCACTGCAATATGTATGTTAGGAAGCAAATTATTAGGGCTGAAGTATTCAAAGACCCCTTAATTGTCTGACAAGAGCAGAAAGGTATGACTTTGCAACTCTTTTTTTTTTTTTTTTTTGAGAAGGAGTCTCATTCACCCTTTCTCCCAGGCTGGAGTATGGTGGCGTCATCTCTGCTCACTGCAACCTCTGCCTCCCAGGTTCAAGCAATTCTCCTGCCTCAGCCTCCTGAGTAGCGGGGATTACAGCCGCGTGCCACCCTGCCTGGCTAATTTTTGTATTTTTAGTAGAGACGGGGTTTCACCATGTTGATCAGGCTAGTCTCCAACTCCTGACCTCGTGATCCACACGCCTCGGCCTCCCGAAGTGTTGAGATTACAGGCGTGAGCCACTGCGCGCGACCGACTTTGGAACTTTAATAAATTGACTGGACATTATGCATTTCTCTGTTGTATCTATGAAAACAATAAAAATAAAAGTCATAATTTTAAAACAAGAAGACAGAAAGTGATAGGAGAAAATGAGACATTATATATATATATATATATATACACAACAAATTACTAATACAAAATTAAGTATAAATGATCAAAGATTAACTTAAACCTAAGTAGACAATGTTTTTGTTAAAATACAAAGATTGGCAAAATTTAAAACATCCGTCTCTATCATAGTTACAAGAGACACAACTAATATATAAATTTACAGAAACTTTGAAGTTCAAACAATACAGATACTGTGTATATATGATATACATACAAACATACTACATGAATATAATTTTTTAAAAAGTTGCTATGTAGACCAAATAGAATGTAAGTTAGAAACATTTATTAAAATAAGTTAGTGTAACCAGTGTGATAAAAGTTTTAAGTTATTAAGAAGATGTGATGACTTCAATGTGTATTAGCCTGATACATACATATATATATACACACAAACCACACACTCTCTCTCACACACACAGACACACACGTATTTAGAGAGAGAGTCAAATTATATAAAGCAAAAA
This sequence comes from Homo sapiens, assembly GCF_000001405.40. NCBI lineage: Eukaryota > Metazoa > Chordata > Mammalia > Primates > Hominidae > Homo > Homo sapiens. Next base: position 142,740 of record NT_187520.1, read on the forward strand.
TATCAGAAAGTAAGTAGAAATGGATAAGCCCCCAAATATTATAGACATTTCAAACACACGTCTTTCAGTAATAGATAAAAGAAAAAATTAAAAGAGTAAGTTTTAAAAGAAGCTAGTGGATTTTAAAACGGGCAAATATTATATAAGGAACTTGAATATTATAATTCATGTTATTTTCATGTTCATACAGAATACTTACAAAAATTAACATTTTCTAGACCATACCACAAATTCAAACAATTTTCACGGAAATAACGTGACACAGAATATATGTCCTAAACAAACAGCAATGAAGGCAGATATCAATACAAAAACGAAAGTTAGAAACATAAGTGTAATAATATTGGTTGGAAGCCATTTTATTGAATATTGAAATATTTTAAAGGTGAATAGTCACTACAAATAAACCAAACACTTTTGTGAGGCCACTAAGATGCATGTGTAATGTGTAATGCCTCCTTTTATAAGGAGTAAATCTGTAACATCACCTGGGCTATTTGACAACTGCAAAGTGAATGTGAGAAGGAGAGAAACAGTGAGAGAGAGAGAGATAAAAGCAGTAAAATAAACATAAAGAATGAAGGAGATAGCCAGGCGCCATTGTTCACGCCTGTAATCCCAGCACTTTGGGAGGCCGAGGCAGGTGGGTCACCTGAGGTCAGGAGTTCGAGACCAGCCTGGTCTAACATGGTGAAACCCACTCTCTACTAAATATACAAAAATTAGCCTGGCATGGTGGCATGCATCTGTAACCCCAGCTACTCGGGAGGCTGAGGTGGGAGAATTGCTTGAACGTGGGGGGTGGAAGTTGCAGTGAGTAGAGATCACGCGACTGCACTCCAGCTTGGGCGACAGAGCAAGACTCCGTGTCAGAAAAAAAAACCCAAAAAACAAGAAAGAAAAAAACGAGGAAATAGTACACGAAAAAGCAGAATTAAAGCAACTGGGTATATATTTAAAAATGCAAAAGCTCACTTTTTCAGAAAAATATTAAAATATTAAATCTAACAAATATCTAGGTAGACTGATGGAGAAAAATACAGAAAATGCACAAAAAAGCAATTACCTGGAATGCGAACGTTACAAAACGTCAGCAGTTGTAGATTTTAAATAAGCAATGATTTTTGAGTTCAACCATGATGGGGTATATTGAAAAGAATCTCTCAGAAAAAAAGAAAAAGAAAACTGTTATAAAGCTATGTACAAAATGTTAAGCACTATTAAAGTCTTCCAAATCTACCAGTTACGGAGTTATTGGTCTTGGACTAACACTCCTGAAAAGAAAAAAACCAAACAAAATAAGACAATACCTAAAAACCTGGATAAAATGGCCTACCGTGGGCACTGGCAATGCATCCAAGCAGGTAGGACCTGGGTGCTACATTCTCTTTGTCAGAACACAAAGCATTCATACACTCTTCTCACCCTCACTTTCACCTTTTAATCTTTGATCTACTATTAAATGTATTCAACATTACTATCAATCCTTTGCTCAAAATTTCTTTACTCACATTTTGCTTGATGCACTTGGATAGACTGTTCAAGAAAGTGTGAGTAGTGAATTCCTCAAACTCTTGCATATTCAAAATCACATTTTTGAACCTCGATGCTTGAAGTGTAGCTTGGGTAACAGATGGGCTTTAAGCCAATTTTGGCATGCAAGGGGTTGAGTTTATTAGGCATCAGCACCGCTGAAAATCGTGGGGATGCAGGCTTAATTTCAACACTATTCTAAATACTTGAAAGATATTATATAAGTCTTTAATAAACTCCTGTGTCTACAAATGGTTCACATTAACTCAATATCCATGATGAAACATCTATAAAATCAAGGCACTGTTATTTAGTGGAGACTTGCTGGCTATTCTATGAGAGGAGGTATTGTTATTGTAATCTCATCATCTCATAAAATTGTATCATATTACTCATAACCAGCCCTTCATATTCTATTCCTATTTTGGTATTTTAAAATAAGATATCTTTGAAATTCTTGAATTCAAAGAGGGAATCTGAATAATTTTTAAAATGTCAATGAAATGCCATTTCTTCATGCTTCAACAACTAAAAATTGACTAAAGTGCTTCTCTTCAATCTTTCTGGGACATTTTTTATCTAAATTCTAAGAACAATCACAATAGGTTTTAACCACAAATGTGAGAATATTCTAAATGTTAGGGTGGAAAAAATTTTTAAATATTTTATAGTAATTTTTTTCATCATAGTGACAGTGTGCTAAATTTTTTTAAGCCAACTATTACTGTAGACATTTAAGTCAGGATTCTAAGAAGCTGTTCTAAAGTCCAAAATTCAGTTTCATATACACTGATATTATATATATATTTGCTTAAAAAATTAATACATGTGAGCCGTGTTTCAAATAGTTGAGAGATTATTATATCAAAGATTCTTGATTATATAAAATGCCAATTACTTATAGGCAGACATGCTTTAAATAATTACTAAGGCAGTTGTGGTTGATTCTACTCTTGCTACTGGCATTTATATGGACATACTATTATGGTCTGAAGAATATTTAGGCAAATTTATCCCTCATATGATCAGAAGAACAATGCAAGATAGTTTATATCTGAAAGGAAAAAAATCTTTATATGGTTCTGAAAGCGTAAATCATTAACAACTTGGATAATAATTAGCATAAAAATACACAAACATGCCCTCTTCCTAGCAGTAAGTACACAGTGACAACAGAATCAAAGCATGTGGCTATGTGCATGTTTATATTTCAAGACGCAGAGCACTCTATTCCTCCTCTCTGCCCTTTCTAGATGGCACAATCCCTCATGAATCTAAGTGCAGTCATAGGGTGGATTAGGGTGACCTGCCATTTGTATGCAACTGATCTCTAGTTTGGAAGTAATTAATGTCAAAATATATTTTTAAAAGGTAATTTCAAATTTCAGGGCAAACTAGCATGGTTTCGCCCCTTTTCTTTGGAACATTTTTTCTAAGGTTGGAAAAGTAAGGTAGGCTTTAGTACGATTTTAAATAATAAGTTTTCAAAGTGAGACGCAAAATGGTGGCGCCAACACATTTCAAATCTGCTACATTTTGAAGACACTTATTGGAGAAAAGACCTTCTCATCATTTTTCTCTTACAGGAAAGGAAATAACACGTACGGTTGACCCTTAAGCAACACGGAGGTTGGGGTGCTGGACCACCTGCACGGTAGAAAATACACTATAACTTTGACTCCCCCAAAACTTAACTACTAATAGCCTACTGTAAGCCTGACAAATAACACAGTCAATTAACACATATTTAATATGTTATATGTCTTATATACTGTATTCTTAACAAACATGCCAGAGAAAAGAAAAAAGAAAATCATAAGGAAAATAGATTTACTAGTTATTAAATGGAAGTAGATGATCAAACAGGTCTTCATCCTCATCTTTCTCATGGGCAGGATGTGGATAAGGATGTAGAATTGTTGGTTTTGCTAAGTGGACGTGCACAGTTCAAACCCCTGTGGTGCAAAGGCCAACTGTATAGCCATTGAATAGCAATTTATATTTAGAAATTAACCTCACTAAAATACTCTTAGAAAGATGCCCAGAAAAAAAGTGAATAAGAATTTTTGGTTCATCTATTACATCATTTCATTTCATTATTTCATTTCTTTTCATCATTTCATTTCATTTCCTCATTTCATCCTTTCATTTCATCATTTCATCATTTCATCTCATTTCCTCATTTCATCCTTTCATTTCATCATTTCATCATTTCATCTCATTTCCTCATTTCATCATTTCATTTCATCCTTCCATTTCATCATTTCATCTTATCATTTCATCTCATTTTATCATTTCATTTCATTCTTTCATTTCATTTCATCATTTCATCTCAACATTTCATTTCATCATTTCACTTCATCTCATCATTTCATCTCATCATTTCATTTCATCTCACCATTTCATTTCATCTCATCATTTCATTTCATCTCATCATTTCATCTTTTCATCTCATCATTTCATCATTTCATTTCATCTTTTCATCTCATTTCATTTCATCAATTCATCATTTCATCTCATCATTTCATCTCATTTCATTTCACTTCATTTCATTGTTTCATTTCATCATTTCATTTCATCACTTCATCTCGACATTTCATTTCGTCATTTCACTTTATCTCATTTCATCTTTTCATCTCATGATTTCATTTCATCTCATTTCATTTCATCTCATTTCATTTCATCTCATCATTTCATTTCATCTTTTCATCTCATCATTTCATCATTTCATCTCATTTCATTTCATCATTTCATTTCATTTATTTCATCATTGCATCATTTGACTTCATGTCATCATTTCATCATTTCATTTCATTTATTTCATCATTGCATCATTTGACTTCATGTCATCATTTCATCATTTCATATCATTTCATCATTTCATGTTTTCATTCAATCATTTCATCATTTCACTTATTCATTTCATTTCATCTTTTCATTTCCTCATTTCATCATTTCATTTCATCCTTTCATCATTTCATCTCATCATTTCATCCTTTCATTTCATTATTTCATTTCATAATTTCTTCTCATTGTTGCATTTTGTCATTCCATCATTCATCATTTCACTTCATCTCATCATTTCATCATCTCACGATTTCATCTCATTTCATCTCGTTTCATCTTTTCATCTCGTCATTTCATTTCATCATTTCATTTCATCTCATCTTTTCATCTCATTTCATTGATCATTTCATCAATTCATCATTTCATCATTTCATTTCATTATTTCATCATTTAATCATTTAACTTCATTTCATCACTTCATTTCATTTCATCATTTCATATCATTTCTTCATTTCACCATTTGATCTTCTCATTTCATTTCATCATTTCATCATTTCACTTCATTTCATTTCATCATTTCATTTCCTCATTTCATTTCACCATTTCATTTCCTCATTTCATTTCATCATTCCATTTCATCATTTCATTACATTTCATCATTTCATCATTTCACTTCATCTCATCATTTCATCATTTCATCTCATGATTTCATTTCATCTCATTTCATCATTTCACTTCATTCTTTCATTTCATTTCATCATTTCATCTCAACATTTCATTTCATTTCATCATTTCATTTCATCTCATCATTTCATCATTTCACTTCATCTTATCATTTCATCATCTCATGATTTCATTTCATCTCATCATTTCATCTCATTTCATCTTTTCATCTCGTCATTACATTTCATCATTTCATTTCATCTTTTCATCTCGTCATTTCATTTGATCATTTCATCAATTCATCATTTCATCATTTCATTTCATTTCATTATTTCATCATTTAATCATTTAACTTCATTTCCTCATTTCATTTCATTTCATCATTTCATATCATTTCTTCACTTCACCATTTGATCTTTTCATTTCATTTCATCATTCCATTTCATTTCCTCATTTCATTTCACAATTTCATTTCATCATTTCATTTCATCATTCCATTTCATCACATTTCATCATTTCATCATTTCACTTCATCTCATCATTTCATCATCTCACGATTTCATTTCATCTCATTTCATCTTTTCATCTCGTCATTTCATTTCATCATTTCATTTCATCTCATCTTTTCATCTCATTTCATTTGATCATTTCATCAATTCATCATTTCATCATTTCATTTCATTATTTCATCATTTAATCATTCAACTTCATTTCATCACTTCATTTCATTTCATCATTTCATATCATTTCTTCATTTCACCATTTGATCTTCTCATTTCATTTCATCATTTCATCATTTCATCATTTCACTTCATTTCATTTCATCATTTCATTTCATTTCCTCATTTCATTTCACCATTTCATTTCATCATTTCATTTCATCATTCCATTTCATCATTTCATTACATTTCATCATTTCATCATTTCATTTCATCTCATCATTTCATCATTTCATCTCATGATTTCATTTCATCTCATTTCATCATTTCATTTCATTCTTTCATTTCATTTCATCATTTCATCTCAACATTTCATTTCATTTCATCATTTCATTTCATCTCATCATTTCATCATTTCACTTCATCTCATCATTTCATCATCTCATGATTTCATTTCATCTCATGATTTCATCTCATTTCATCTTTTCATCTCGTCATTACATTTCATCATTTCATTTCATCTTTTCATCTCGTCATTTCATTTGATCATTTCATCAATTCATCATTTCATCATTTCATTTCATTTCATTATTTCATCATTTAATCATTTAACTTCATTTCCTCATTTCATTTCATTTCATCATTTCATATCATTTCTTCACTTCACCGTTTGATCTTTTCATTTCATTTCATCATTCCATTTCATTTCCTCATTTCATTTCACAATTTCATTTCATCATTTCATTTCATCATTCCATTTCATCACATTTCATCATTTCATCATTTCACTTCATCTCATCATATCATCTTTCATTGCATTATTTCATTTCATCTCATCATTTCATTTCATCATTTCACTTCATCTCATCATTTCATCACATCATTTCATTTCATCTCATCATTTCATTTCATCTTTTCGTCTCCTCATTTCATTTAATCATTTCGTTTCTTTTCACCTTTTCATCTCATCATTTCATTTAATCATTTCGTTTCTTTTCACCTTTTCATCTCATCATTTCATCAATTCATCATTTAATTTCATTTTTTCGTCATTTCATCATTCACTTCATTTCATTTCATTTCATCATTTCATACATTTCCTCAATTCATCATTTCATGTTTTCATTTCATTTCATCATTTCATCATTTCATTTCACTTCATTATTTCATTTCATTTCATTTCACCATTTTATGTCATCATTTCATTTTTCATCATTCCATTTCATCATTTCATTTCATTTCATCATCATTTCATCTCATTATTTCATTTCTTCATTTCATCATTTCGTTTCATTTCATCATTTCATCATTTCATTTCATCATTTCATCATTTCATTTCATTTCAGTGATACATGTATTTAATTGCTAATGCGATGCCCAGGAGACACCCTATTTCCCTTTCTAAAACACCTCCTTCAACAAAAGGCAACTTCTCATGGCTGGCTAAGTCTACAGGGATAGCAGCCTCTCCTCAACCACCCAATTTCATTTAAAACCTCAAACAGCACCTCAGTTTCATAAAAACCTAAAACATAAACACAACACTTGGTTGTAAGTGAGCCGACAGTTTCTTGTCTCTTTCTCTGCTCAAGGCTTAAGGCTGTGTCTCCCCAACTACATTCAGTGGAAGAGAAGATCCCATGGACAAATAAGTTTGAGAATTGTTGTTGCAGGAATTCTCAGAACTTTCAAAACACAAATCTTCATCCGCAGGGATCTTCAGGAGGGAGATGGCTGATGCAGCACAACTTTCTTTCAGAGGAGTATCTTGCAGAATACAGTATGAGATACAGAAAGGCTGCATTGAGTCTTTTTAATGGCCCGGGCCTTGGTGAGGGTGGGGTAGGAGCTCTCCAGATAGCATCTAATGAGTAGGAACATTCAGGTGGCTTTTTTTTTTTTCCTTATTCGCAAAACTGTGTGTACACCATGAATGAAGCTGGTCTCCCTTATCCACGTCAAAACTAAACCTAAATTAATTGGCTAAATTGGGACTCAACACCTCCAGGAGCCACGCGGCAGAAAGCCCCAACACACTTTAAATTAGCTTGCCTCATCATATTTGAGGAAAGCAAAACGCTTATGACCAGTATGCTGCTAATACAAGTCTACAGATAATGCTGTATGAAAAACTAGTTTTCCCAATCATAGCTGGCATAGTCCACATTTTGCATTACACTTTCCCCCCCTTTTTTTAAATTTTAAACACAGGTCTTTTTCTCTTCTTTTTTTCAATTTTAATTAAATTATACAAGACGGAGTCTCAGTATGTTGCCCAGGCTGGTCTTCAACTCCTGAGCTCAAGCGATACAACCGTCTCCGCCTCCCAAAGTGCTGAGATTGCAGGCCTGAGACACTGTGCCTGGCCTTAAACACAAATCTTAATTCATTCTTACAATTATTCTGAGGTTACAAAAATGGAAGGGGAAGAAAAATGGCAAGTAGGTAGGCTGACTTCGGCTTCATTATTTGGAAGGACAGTTTGCTCGGTTAAAACACACTACTGCCTACAAAGGCCAAGACAACAGAAAAATACAGACTTACATAAATAGATTTTATATGTGACAGCAGTTTGAATGGAGACTTTTTCAATGCAATGAGAAACAGCTGTGCTTGGGAATAAATGACAACGAATTTTTTTATCTCAACAGCTGTCCTGAGAGCATGTCTCTACATCTCTACCTGCATTCTGGAATCAGGGAGAAAGCCAAAACGGACGACAAGACACTAGATCAGCCGTGTCCAACCCTTTGCCTACAAGGACTTTTCCACCTATCTGTGGTGGTGGGTAGCATGAAAATTATGCACAAAACTTTTTTTTTTTTAACCCCATCAGCTGTTGTTAGCATTAGTGTATTTTATGTGCGGCCCAGGAGCATTCTTCTTCCAATGTGGCCCTGAGAAGCCAAAAGACTGGACACCTGTGCACCAGATCAAAAGGCTACTCCTTCTGGAAGCAATTGTAAAGAATTTCTGACATTATCTTGACATGAAAACCAATGGGTAGTGGGACAGAATGCAAAATCTTGAAGAATTTTTCTTGTCTTTTTTTTTTTTTTTTTTTTTTTTTTGAGTCACGGTCTTGCTCTGCGGCCCAGGCTGGAGTACACTGGTGAGATCAGAGCTCAGTGCAGGATCAAGTGCTCCTCCCGCCTCAGCCACAGTAGTAGCTGGGACTACAGATGCGCACAACCACCCCTGGCTAATATTTTATTTTTTGTAGAGATGGGGTCTCACTATATTGTCCAGGTTGGTCTCAAACTCCTTGACTCAAGGGATCCAGGAAAGGATAACAGGTGGGAGCCACCACACCTGGCTATGTGCATGAACTTTTAAGACAAACACAAGGCCCCACAAAAGTTAAGGTTTTTCCCACCTAATTTCCAGGGGGATCTTTTGGTGCAAGGCTGAGAAGCCCTTAAAAGTACACAGACAACTCCAAAGATTCAAGACAGTTCATTTGGGCTGAGCCAGCCCACTGGGCAGTCTGACCTTCCAAAAAGACCCACCCATGACATACACCAGATGGCTCTCCAAGAATCTCTTCAGTCCTCAGGGTCCCTAACGTACTGGACAGAGCTAGGAAAGCAAACCCATTTGCTTCTTCCTGCAGGAAACCCCTTGAGGTTAAGACCCCACAATCACATGAGGATGGAGTGGCTCACCCTCAGTCAACAGGCCAGACTCAAGGTGGTATAATGTCTTAACCACGGGTGCGGGCCTCCAGGTCTGACTCCCAACTCAGTTCTTCTTTAATAACCACACTTTGTTAATTTTCCTTAACAGGGGTTCCTGGCAAGTCATTTCTCCCTCAGGCCTTCGGTTTCCTCACCTACAAGATGAGAGGGCTGGACCAGATGGAAATTCAGGGGGTAAGGGGATGTCCTCACGCAGCCCACCCCCACCCCCACGGGACCCTGGAGCCTCCATCCCAGTTCCCACCACGCACCCGCTCCACAAATCCTGCCCAAGGTGAGGGCTGGTCCTGGGTCCTCTGGCTGCCGCATCAGCGAGTGCAGGAGGGAGGGGAAGCCTCCAAGGGGGTGACGTGGGCTCAAAGATGCAACTCGGCCAGGAGTGAACTGGGGCCCCGAAGGAGGTGTCCGGGCCGCTCCTGGAGCCCAGCCCGGGTCCCCGAACCCCTTACCTCCGGGGTCTGTATCTCCTGCTGGGTGAGGTCGTTGGACACAGCGCACTTGGTGCACAGCCCGCACAGGCTGCCAATGAAGATGACGATGAGCTTCTGGAGCTGCCCGCACTGCTGCAGCGCCCGGCTGGCCGCAGCCCCTGTGCCACCCTCCGTGTCCGCCACATCACCCCCACCACCGCCCTCCTTCTTCTCTCCCATCGCCTCCACAGGCAGCGCCACTCTATGCAGGCCACAGGGGCCTAGGCAAGGAGCCTGGGGCGCCGGCGCCTAGGCAAGGAATCCCTGAGCCAGGAGAGCTGGACCAGGAGCACCCCTCAGCGCTGCCCTTGCCAGGACGCCAGTAGAGCTGGCAGCCGAGTCTGCCGCTCCCGCCCTCAGAGCCGTGGCGGCGGGGACAAAAATCCTCGGCGGCGGGGGCAAAACGCCGCGGCGGCGAAAAAGTCGCTGCGGCAGGGGGACAAAAAGCCGTGACAGCGGGGCGCAAAAAGCCGCGGCGGGTAAAAGGCCGTGGCGAGTAAAAAGCCGCGATGGCAAAAAGCCGCGGCGGGCAAAAAGCCACGGCGGCGGTGGGGCAAAAAGCAGCGGCGGTGGCGGAGGGGCAAAAAGCCGCGGCAGCGAGGGGGCAGAAAGCCGCGGCGGCAAAAAGCCAAGGTGGCGAGTGTGCAAAAAGCTGTGTCGGCGGTGGGGCAAAAAGCCGCGGCGGCAGAGGGGCAAAAAGCCGCGGCGGCGGGTGTGTGGCAGAAAGCCGCGGCGGGCAAAAAGCCGCGGCGGCGAGGGGGGCACAAAGCCGCGGCGGGCAAAAAGCCGCGGCGGCGCGGGGTAAAAAGCCGCGGCGGGCAAGAAGCCGAGGCGGGGTGGGGGCAAAAAGCCGCGGCGGCGGGGGGCAAAAAGCTGTGGCGGGTAAAAGGCCGCGGGGGCAGGGGGGAAAAGCCACGGCGGGGAAAAAGCCGCGGCGGCGGGGTGCGAAAAGCGGCGGGGTAAAAAGCCGCGGCTGGCAAAAAGCCGAGGCAGGGTGGGGGCAAAAAGCCGCGGCGGGGAAAAAGCTGCGGCGGCGGGGGGTAAAAAGCCGAGGCGGGCAACAAGCCGAGGTGGGGTGGGGGCAAAAAGCCGCGGCGGGCAAAAAGCCGAGGCGGCGTGGGGGCAAAAAGCCGCGGCGGGTGAAAAGTCGCGGGGGCAGGGGGGAAAAATCCACGGCGGGAAAAAGCCGCGGCGGCGAGGGGGCAAAAAGCTGCGGGGATGCCAAAAGCGGCGGGGTGCAAAAGGCGGCGGGGGGCAAAAGGCGGCGGGGGGCAAAAAGCCGCAGCGGCGGGGGGCGGGCAAAAAGCCGCGGCGACAAAATTCGCAACGGCGAGGGGTCAAAAAGCCGGGGCGGACTAAAAGCCCTGGCGCCGGGGGGGCACAAAGCCGCGGCGGCGGTGGGGCAAAAAGCCGCAGCGGCGGGTGGGGGCAGAAAGCCGCAGCGGCGATGGGGCAAAAAGCCACGGCGGCGGGGGTAAAAAGCCGCTGCGGGCAAAAAGTCGCGGCGGCGGGGACAAAAAGGCGCGGCGGGCAAAAAGCCTAGGCGGGATGGGGGGAATAAGCCGCGGCGGCGGGGGGGCAAAAAGCCGCGGCGGCGGCGGAGGGCGAAATAATGGAGATGGAGTGGAAGGCCGGCACAGCTTGGCATTGCTGGAGTGCGATGTGATAGGAAATGTGCAGCCAAAGACAAAAAGATGTAAGTAGGCTTGACTCATTGAAGCTAAGAACCCAGATGTTATCTTGAGGGTATTAACTAATAAGCAGTTTAAATCAGAATGGCACATTCTGATTTGTTTCTTGTACGTTCACATTTGGCAGGCATAGATACTGTTTGAAGAGAGAAAAGTCAGTAGAGAGAGGTAACAAACTTAAATATGTGCCAAGTCTAGAAACAAGAGACCAGGGGGATAGGGACCTTTCAAAATAAAATGCAAGATTTGAAAACTGATTGGCTGGGGGATGAGGAAAAGGCAGGTCTTTAAGGTCCACCCCTGTTTTGCTTTAAGTTGTTAGGGGGTGGTTTTATCACATGTTGTAGAATATGTCATTTCAGTTTTGAACATCTTGAGTTAAATTGTCCTAGCATATCTTATGAATTTGATTTTCTTCCCTGGAAAGCTAATATTTCAAACACTTAAAGAGTATATAGATTTCCAACTTGTATCCAGTTTATAAAACTATCTCTAGGCTGCTGATTTCAGGAGGAGGCTTATGAGTATTCTCCTTGCAGAGAATATATCAGGAGTTAACAGCAGCTTCAATATTTGTGGATGACCAGTTAACTAAGCCACCTCTTAGTGTCTTTAGTTGGGAAATCTTAGCTGAAGATATTCAATAATGAACCAAGAGTGACTAAGAAATTCAATATTTAAGTATATTTCATTGTAATTAATTTGAATTGAAGTAGCCATATACAGCTAGTATTTACTATATTGAACAATGCAAATAAGAGGAAAAAATTAATAACCATCTCTAATACCACATGCCAAAATCCTCATCAATTTATTCTAGCTAAAGGAGTTGATCAGAAGCAGTAGTTGAAAGCACCAACTAAACCCAGCTGGGGTTAGTTCACTGTCATTCTCTCAGAACCGTCTCTTCTCTGAACAAAACAAGTACAAGAGTTCATTGTGAATCTGCATTCTCCTTGCCTATTTTAAGGTTTTGATGTTGACGCAAATTTGTGAAATCCCTCCTGTGGTGTGATATTTCGTTTTCCTTGCTTTGTGTTAGGACAAGAATGCTTCAGCTCTTAATTTAAAATTATGTTTCTCCCTCCTAGGTTGAGTGAACTTAGAATGCATTCTCTGACATATCCAAGATTTTGTTAATATGAATTTCGGGAAAAAAGCATACTTAATTAGCTAAGACGTCTTATTCTAAGCTTGACCCTATGTTCGACATCTTTTGAATTTCTGGTTGCGTGGGCTGCTCTCTGACACTGGTTAGTGACCTGGAAGCTCTATTAATGTTAGGGGAGGTGGTGTATGAGCATTAGAGGTATCCTTGCAAGGAAAGACTTGTCTTATCTCAATACGTCTTTTTTTTTGCACACAAGAAAGTCAATGTCTGAGTCTTCTAAAATCTTCCTATTTCCAAATTGCAGATTATGATTGATTCCTAAACAAAGACCTAATTTTTGACTCAGAGACGTGGCAAGCTAGTGAATCACCGTTATAATTTAACAATCTTCAAGATAAAATTATCTCTGATATTTAGATTTTGCCCAATTATTAAGATATTTGGGTGTTTCGTTAAGAATGGAAAACTCTAGTCTCTTGAGCAGAGACTATAAAGGCCTCAGATGATCATTTTTAATTTTATGCTCTTTTCTTTAACACCTTCAACACAGTTGGAAGCAGCCGATATTCCGCAGAGTTGTTGTGTTTTTTAAACCAAATGCATGGTTCAGTGGTAGAAAACTGGGCTGATCCAAGCTGTTTTCAGTAAACACTTCATTTCAGGTGACCCATTTCGTATTAAATAATCTCTAGATCCTGTCTTCGAAACTAACTAGATCAGATAAACTACCCTGGATTTTCTCTTTTTAGGGTCTGAGAGCTGCAGTCACTTTTGTGAAAATGATTACAATGACAAGATAGAGTTGTAGATGGGGAAAATGTTTTGACTAATTTAAGCATAGTGGTATTTCATATGAGAATTTAAGTTACACACATTTGAAAATTATAATGGAGTCTCTTGGCTGAGCTTTAAAAAGAAATAGCGTTTAGGCTAAAAAGGGAACTGCTACCTCTCCTAAAATCAGAAAGATGTTACAGTAATTCTCCATTCTCTAGAATTATCAAGAAGCACCTTTGTGATGATTTACTTTTGCTCTTGCGAGTGTGAGCCCGTGTAGTCGTGGAACCATCAATTAGAATGGTTGCTTTCTGATCCCAAAGTCACTCGTTCTGAAAACAATATTTTTCATAAATTTGAAAGTGAGAAGTTTTGATCTTGCCATTCCCAAGTAACTCTCTTAAGAAGAGGCATCAGCATGCTTCAGTGACAGCTGTCACCTTCCATTGCTGAGAGTCATCTTTGAGTTCTCTATTTCACTCCCTACACTCCAATTTAGCTGCAGTTCTCTTGGCCAGTCCTATGAAATACATCCATGGCCTAACGACTTCTCACCACTACTATCACTCATGCTGACAGCATTCTCACCTAAGTCACTACCTTTTTTCACTGGATTAGAGTAGCCTCCCAATTTATTTGCTCACATAACCTATTTATTCTACACAGTGCACCAGATACACCCCTTTGAAATGCAAACACAATCATATTATTCTCTGGTGAAATTATCTCATATATTCCTATCGCATTTAAAATTAATTCAGAATCATCCCATGATTATCAAAACCCTACATGCTCTTCCACAACATGGTTTACTTCCAAGATATCTCTTCAACATTTTTTTCACTGTACTGAATTGGTGACTAATAGTCATATTTTTGTTTTTGCTCAAAAAGTCTTGACTTGTAAATTTTTCAGTTTCTCCTTTATCCACAGGTAACTCTTTCCTGATAAGGCGAATTGCTTGCTTCCTTGAATTCTGCTCTCAAAGATACCCTTCACTTTCTACCTAATATTAATAACTTTAATCATTCATTATTCCATTACTATGCTCTATGGTGTATACAATTTCTGTTCTTTGTCATGTTATTAACTAAATTATTTATTGGGTCCAGTAACGTATTCCATAAATATTGTACACATAAAAATTGTGTTATTTTTATTCCTGTATGCTGAGCTGCCCAATAACAGTCTGAGGATTAACATATTTGTTAAATGCACAAATACATTCTTTCACAAATATTAGTTTAATAATTTTATATTAAACTCCCTCTATACTTACAATATGAATTAGATAATTCAGAATAAACATTCCATTGGAAAAAGCTACACAATTTGTTATAAAACATCCTTAAAAGCATCAGAAAATTAATACAGCAATGAAGAATTACAGGACCAAATTAAGAATGGTATGAAAGCCTGTTTGTGACGCTTATGTTTGGGTTATCTCTTTATTTGAGTGACTATAAATCTCAAAAGAGAACTAAAGGGAGAAATAACCGTATCTACTAACATGCTAAGGGTACTTAAACATCTCTTAGTAATTGAGAAAATTGAAAGAAAAGAAAAAAGAGAAAGGGAGAAAGAGAAACAGCGAAAGGGATAATGAAGGAGAGAAAGAAGAAGAGAAAGGAAGAGGAAGAAAAGTAAAAAGGAGGAGGAGGGGGAAGGAAGAAGGCACAATCACAGCTCACTGCAGTCTCGACCTTCCAGGCTCAAATGATCCTCCCACCTCAGCATCCCAAGTAGCTCACACTACAGGCACCCACCACCACACCAAGCTAATTTTTATTTTTTTTGTAGAGATGGAGTCTCACTATATTGCCCAGGCTGGTCTTGAACTACTGTAGTCAAGTGGTCCTCCCACCTGAGCCTCCCAAAGTGCTGGGATTACAAGCATAAGCCACCATACTTGGTGAGATATGAATTTCTAGGAAAAAAATCAAAATTGACTCAAAAAGTAGAAAAAAAACTTACATAGATTAAATATATTGAATCAGTAATGAAAAAACTTCCCATAAAGAAATTTCCAGGCCCAAGTGCCTTCACCAAAAAGTTCCATGAAACATACAAGAGAAACAAACCAACCAACCAAACAACAACAACAAAAAAAACTCTGCCACCAACACAGAGAATAAAAAAAGAAGACTCCCGAGTTCATTTTACAAGGTTAAAATAAAAATAACCTTGATATCAAAACCCAACAAGGCAAGTGCAAGAGAAAATATTTACAGGCCATCATTATTCAACGTGGATCAGCAATTATTTTTAAGATGTACTGGCCAGGTGTGGTGGTCATGCCTATAATCCTAGTATTTTGGGAGGCCCGAGTGAGAGGATGGCCTGAGCTCAGGAGTTTGAGACCAGCCTGGGCAACAAGGCAAAATCACGTCTTTATAAAAAATACAAAAATTAGCTGGGCATGGCAGCACACCTATAGACCCAGCTATTCGGGAGGCTGAGGTGGGAGGATCACTTGAGCCTAGCAGGTTGAGAATGCAGTGATCCCTGATCATGCCACTGTGCTCCAGCCTGGGCAACAGAGTGAGACCCTGTCTCAAAACAACAACAGAAAGATATGCTGACCGCCTGTGATGCTGGCCAGGATGGCGTATGCATGCTACGGCCTGTCATTTCCACTGATCACAATTTGAAACTCTGGACAAAATATAAATAGCAATGACCCAAGTACTCTGAAAAGTAACCAGCAGACAGGTTGGGAAACGTCAAAACCTGAAGAATTATCTGGATGGTGGTGGTGAGAGATCATATTCTGGGTCATAAAACAAACCCTAAAGTTAAACAATTAAAATTCAGTGAATTATTTTCTCTGATGACAGAATTAAACTAGGAATCTAGAACATTTCTAGAACATCCCCAAATATGAGAAGTTAAATGGCATACTTCTAAATGGCCCATAGGTCAAAGAGAGTATCTTAAGACAAATTGGAAAACAGTTTGAACTTAATAAATATGACATCATCTTATCAAAATATGTGCTTACAGGGCAATTTATGGCACTAAATTATGAGAAATGAAGCATCAAATCAATAATGTAAGCATTTACTTTAAGTAAAAAAAGAACCAAATAAACTCAAATCAGGCATAAGAAAAACAGACTAAATCAGTAATATTTAAACAAAAACAGTAAAGGAAAAAAATTCAACGAAATCCAAAGTTGGTTCTTTGCAAGGGCGGTGGGAGGTGGAAGTCAATCAAATGAGGAAGCCTCTAGCAGACTGACAAAGGAAGAAGATAAAACACAAATTACCAATACCAGAAATGAAAGGAATATTATTACAAATCCTGTAGACACTAGAAGGCTAGAATGGACACTACAAAAACAAAACAAACAACTATATGCTTCTAAATTCTACAAATTAGGTGAAATAGATCAATTCCTTGAAAGACAGACTACCGAAACTCAAGAAGAAACAGACAGCTTGAATACCCCTGTATTTATTAAAGAAACAGAAGTGGCACAGCACTTTGGAAGACAATTTGGCAGGTTCTGATAAAGTCAAACGTACATGGACCATGTGACTCGGCAATCCTACCCTTAGGCATTTGCACAAGTGAAATGAAAACCTATGCTCAGACAAAAAGCACTTTGTGAATTCCAATCCACTTATAATTTATCAAAAAGTGAAAATAGTCCATATTCCTCCAATGACAAACCAATAAGCAAACCATGTAGTATTTATACAATGGATTACTATTTGGCAATTAAAAGGAATAACTGTTGATGCAGTATATGAAAGTAGCCAGACTCAAAAGGCTACATCCTGAACGATTCCATTTGTATAAAATTCTGAAAAAAAAGCAATGCCAGAGGAACACAGATCAGTTATTGCCAGAAGTTTACAATGGAAGGTTTTACTATAAAGGGTAAGGTAATTTTTGGAGTGATCATATAATTTTGTAATCTACCAAAAACAAACATAATAAATGGGCAGATAAGTAAAGTTCATGGATTGGAAAGTTCAATATTGCAAAGTTCTCCCAAAAATGACCTATCAATTTAATCCCAGTGGAAATTCCAATCAGTTTTGTGAAGGCTGCTAAGTCAACTCTAAAATGGCCAAGAATAGACAAGATCACCGGAGAGGAAGCAGGGAGGTGGACACAAATATCTTCTGATTGATGAGTGAAATCATTAGAAGGCCAGCAAAAATACAAGTAAGCCAGAATTTCTAAAGCACCACAAAAGAACACTAGTTAGTAGTGCATAAAGGTATCTCCTAAATTTGTTGTAAACATAGGCCTTTAAAAAAATATTAGAAACTGATATTTAAAGAGATATAAACTCATATTAAGCTTTTAAAAAATTCTAAGCAAGGGCCTCACCTAATTTCATAAAAGGTTGCGTAGAACCAACCATTGCTGCAAACGATGTGCTGCCCTGAGATGTGAGGATCCCAGTGGTCCCTCTGGGTCAACAGCAGCTACCGCAGGTGAGCCCAAATTCTGATACATTATCTATCTACAATCATTATTTTTAACAATGTATATCAATGCTACCCATAAGGCACAGAGAAGCAGAAATGTTTATGTGGCCTCCTGCCAAAAACAATCACTTGCACTTATTTCTAGTACTCCAGAAGACAGTAATAGAAGTTTTTCAATTTAGAAAAACATTTACAGCAAAGAAAAAAATCTCTGTAAACTTCCTGCTTATCCAATCTAGTGAATTGTGATGAGCCATATAAATTCATTTAGCCACCTTATGAAAGACTTAATCCAAAGTCACTTCTAACTTCTAGAAGAGCTAATGTATTATAATCACAGTTGTGAAAGACTCAAAGGCCAGAAATGTCAAGGTGTGGTCTATATCCTAAGTCCAGAAAAAAAAACAAAAAGCAACACGTACAGGCCAAATGATTGCCAATTTCTTCTGCCTACGTCATCTTTCTTCACTATAGCCTGAAATTACATTTCATGTTTGACAATTCTCAGCAAGGAGACAAAACAAGCTTATGAGTAAAATAATAGAAAGCAGAGCCACAGAGAGGACGAGAGGCAGGAGTCATCTCCCAAGTCCAAGTTCAACTTCTATATTATTAGACAAGGCCTCAGTGTCTTTGAACTGCAAGGAATTAATATTGATTGTAGCATGAGTAAAATCTATCTTCTACTCATCATGAAAAGTCACAGTCGTTTTGTTTAAAGACTCCAGAATTATTATAGGCAGAAACAAGCAGGTTCCACACCTATTTGGTGAAACGAGGAATCAGGAATGAGCATTCCCAAGAGAATACAATTACAAAAGTAAAATCACCTAGAGTTTTTGGGCTGCTTAAAAAACCCAGAAAGAAGTGCCAAATGGGAAAATAATCAAATTCAGTGGAAAAACTCACTTGAAGGTATCATGGTCAGCTGGGTTTCCACCCCTTTGTTGCACTTCAAATCCTGTGTATTCCACAAAGACTTGCTCCTTTCTAAAGGCTATGGTTCACATTCAACAGAATAGCAGCAACCACCATGAGCCTGAGGGCTGGCTAGTCTTTAGTATTCTGCCTTATTCAAAGAAAGGATCATTTCCCTCATTCCTAAAGATCTCCCAGGTCCATCACAAAAAAAAAAAGGAGCAGCAGCCAGGCGCAATGGCTCACACCTGTAATCCCAGCACTTTGAGAGGCCAAGGGGGGAGGGTCACCTGAGGTCGAGAGTTCAAGACCAGCCTGGCCAACATGATGAAACTAAAAATACAAAAATCAGCCGGGTGTGGTGGTGTGTGCCTGTAATCCCAGCTACTTTGGAGCTGGGTAACTGGCAGAGGTTGAACAATTTGCAGGTCTCAGAAGACAGGAAAATGTGGGAAAGTTTGAAATTCCAAGAGACTTGTTGAATGGCTTTGACCAAAATGCTGATAATGATATGGACAATGAAATCCATGCTGAGGCAGTCTCTGATGGAGATGAGGAACTTGCTGGGAACTGGAGCAAAGGTGACTCTTGTCACCTTTGATAAGATGGTGGTTGAGGAGAGGTCTTGGCAAGCAGTGATGTGTGAATGTAGTGAGGGGCCTGAAAATGGAACTCAGAGAGGACACTGGGTTTTAGAGGCTGAAACTACAGAAAGTCCGCTGCGTTCAAGGCCTGCTTCCACCAAAATCTAGCAGTGTGGCCTCAAACCATTTCATTTCTCTTGGCCTCAGTTTCTACATCTGCAAAATGGGATTTATAATCCCACCCCAGCCCACAGAATTCAGAGTTATATGAGAAGGCTAGAAGAGCTCACCTACCAAGGGACTCTTTTAATGGCAAGGTGGGGAAACTGAGGCACCGAGAGGGCTAGGGCTCTGCTAGCTGTCACCCAGAGTCTGATGGACCTGAGATGAGAAACCAGAACTCCTGCCCCTAGTTCCCCCGGCTTTCCTCAGGCTGGGGAGTGAGTGCGGTGAGATAGAAAGGGCAAGCCCTCCTGCTGTTTCTCTCTGGACAGGGGCGGGATGCTGGGTGAAGGGTGAAAGGAAGAGGCTGGAGAAGGGAGAAAAGCTCCAGCTCACACTAAGTCTGAATTTTTTTAAAATGCGGACTCCGTGGCCCCTCCCTTACCCGCCCCAATCCTCTCTGAAGTCCTGGTTGTGAGGGGCCAAGTCCCAAAGTCTGCTGCTCCGCCTCTCTGTGTGCAGAGCCATGGGGCCTTCACAGGCTGCAGTGGGTCCCGAGCCCCCAGGGCTGTGCCTGCTGGTCCTGACCAAGATCGCGGCTGCCGAGGTCAGTCCAGCGCCAAGGGCACAGGGCCAGGGCAGGCGGGGCAGGGCTACCCGAAGCGCATAGAGGCTGCTGGTGTCAACGTGACGTCTTCTGGGGCGCCTGGCATCCCTAGGAGTGGAAGCCGCTGATGAAGTCAAAGCTGCCTCCTCCTTCAGGAAGACTTTGCTCCCATAGCTGGCGAACAGGAAGCGGAGCAGCACCAGGAGGATCTGCGGGCGCTGCTGAGGGCTTCTTTGCAGGGACAGTGCAGCAGGCAGCCAGGGACAAGACTGCACGGCAGCGCCCCATGGCCAGGGGAAGCTCAGAACCGGAGTCGCCCGCTGCCCGGCGATTCTCCATCCCTGGATCGGTACAGGGGCATTTGGACGCTGTGGGGAAGTCGCGGTCTGGGGATATTGGGTCCAGCCTTCGGGTAGAAGCAGGTGATAAACGCACTCAGGCCAGCCCGGAGCGTCAGCCACACTGCGGTGCCCACGATGCCCAGGGTGAGCACCACGAGGCGCAGGAAATTGGCTAGGGTGGGAGCTCACTGGTAGGCGCCCTGGAAGTCAAAGATCTGCTGCTCCAGCGCTGCCACCAGTTGCAGGCAGCAGAAGGCGAGGAGCGTGTGGCACCCGCGTACTCGCCCATCGCTCCGCGGACCTCTTTATCCAACCTTCAATAATTATTCTTTTTATTATATTCAATGATTATTCTACTTTTCATAGAGAGCAGCTGTCAGTCCAATAACACACTTAACAAATGATATACCTAGTCCTCAAGGTTAACAAACACATGAAGACCAGCCCAACCCTGAAAATCAGTTTGCAAACCTTCGCTATATCTGATGCCATTCCTAAAAATTTTTAGGGACAAGTTTTGTTTGTGGTAAACAACATAAGGTGGGGTGTGTGCTGAGCCCAAAGCTGACCAATTGCTCACAATTACTCATAACTACCCATTGACTTGATTTTATCAAACTTCAGACAGTCTTGTCTCCTCTCCTCAGGCCCCTGGACCTTGGCTCACCACCTAAGACTGAACAAGCACTAAAGGACAGACCAGCCCGCTAACAGCTCACTCCAAAAATGAGCGGGACTCCCAGAGAAACTATTTTTATTGGAGCATCCTGGTTTTGCCACCTGCTCACCCCACTGCCTGTTCTTCTCTCCAAGGAGGCTTCTGCCAGCCCTGCTTGTCCTTCCCTAGAAAAGGAAAGCCTTTTCCTGTTTGATCCTGAGACACCTGTAGATTGAGTTTGGAATATTCTCCCTATTGCAATAGTATTTTTGAATAAGTTTTATTTTTCCCTACCTCTGGTTGATTTTTAATTAATACCAGTAAGCTTGGATGAAAGCCTGCACACCTTAGGTGTGTGTGTGTGTGTGTATGTATGTACTTTAGCATTATCATAAAGTAATAACAGTAAAATCAAACAAACACAGATGGATAAGCAATATGTTGGACTAGTATGAAAATGGCATTGCCAGCAGTGATATGATTTTTTTTTCAAAATGGTACACTTTTTGAAGTATAATCTTATTTTAACCTAAAATCTTACTGTCAGAAAATGCAGTGTACATTAAAATGTTCTGAACTGCTTTTATTCATATATTAAATGGTTGTACTCAAATATCTACAAATTTGTTTTTCACTTATGTAATTGTCTTATAGAATGTTCAAAAGTCTTGCAGAATGTGAGACAATTTTCTATTGAATACGATCGCTTTATCATTGCAAGACATCAAACATCCCTGTTTCCTGCCAAATAAATGTACAATAGCAATAAATGTAAAGATGTGTTTTGTAAAAAAGATATATTTTTGAGTTACAAAACAAGGATTTTAAAACTTGAATTGTTACAGTGAATATGTCTTAATACAGGCCAGAGTCATTTAGGTAAAAAATTACCTCATATCTATTCTTTGCAGTATCACTTAAAGGTGTTTATTTAGCGGCAAAGATTTTTTTTTTTGTGCCTAGAGGCAGATATTTTGCCCCATGGCTATTTACGGTATGAAACTGTATTTAAATGAGTGTACATATATAAAAGCTGCCATTCTGGCTGTAAACTATTGCAGGTTATCAAGATTAAAAAATAAACAAATAAAAATATTTCAGTTTTTCTATGAAATGTCTTTACTCGAGTCCAAATGTAGAGATATAAAATGCTTGAAATTCATAAAACCAAGTGTTTCACATATTTCAGTTGTGATGGCCTTTGTCCTACTTTTGTTAGTGAAGCAGGCAGACTGCATTTTTTCCCTCTCATACATCTTCAAATGGTAGACAGAAAAATTTGATAAAACTTCTAGGGCATTATCTGATGAAACACATTAAACACTAAAGGAGAAATACAACTTCATTGTTTATAAAAGACGTATAAGAAGGAAACCTGCATACATATATCTATCAGTTTTGTATTTTCAAGAAATATTTGCCTTAAAATGAACTTCATTAGAATATGTGTTCTCCCACAGAGCCAAGGAAAGTAAGTTAGACACAGGATCTGGAAGTCTACCTGTGTGATGTAATTACATTGAAAACATTCCACAAATAATGCAGAAATGTATCATTGTGACCCAAAATATTCTCTAAATTTTCTCAAAGCAATGTGGCCACATCTATTATCTTTTACTATGACTAGTCATCATTCCATGCATTTGAACATTACCTCACCCATTTGCAGCCTCCTATCTCTGCAATTAATTATGGCTAACATTCTCAGCAGTCCAAACATCTTGCAAGTGACAGCTTGAAAAGGCCTACCAGAATGATGTTCACTCTGCCACCTGACTAGCTTGTCTTCCATCTAGACATTGCAGTATGTAGAAGAGTGCTTTTAGTATTATAAATTTGATCCAACACGTGTTCAATTAGATGAAATCTTAAATATTGCACTACATGTGAATTGGGAAAATGTTAATTTGCTTCTGTAGTTTTAAGTGTATTCTCAGAGGCAGATGAAGACATATTACATCACTGAGTTCAAGAAATAAAGTAAATAGAAGAAAAAAGGTGTTATTTTAGTTTGGTTATGTTTATATTTGAAGTTTTCTTATCATACCTTATTTTTTGTTTATTAATTCCAGGGTAGAGTAGAAAAATATGCTCTCATATAATATAAAAATGATATGGGGAAAAGAAGTAAAAAATTAACTTAGAGACACCATTAATTAATTTCTTTTATAAATGAAACACTAGATAGTTTCTATTTGTTTTGACAAATAGATAATATATTTAGAATCAATGCTTTATTTCTTGGAAAGTGGAGTGAAAAATTTAAATGTAGTATTCAGATTGTATTATAACTGTGCACTACAGATCACATACATTTGTCTTTTCTTTGTATTATACATTATTTAATGGTAAGCATCCTTTCAAGGGCTATTTTATATAAGTAGTAAGGTATCTGGAATTTCTGAAATAATAAAAGTGACCTAAATCACTGTGTTTGGTAAATTCACAATACCCAAATAGCAGGAGGGGAGTGCTAGAGGTAGGGAGGAGAATGCTCATGTTCTCATTATTCCCAAACAGATTCTTAAAGTCTTCTCACTGGACACATGGATGCACCTCTGTAATACCCAATATCTTAGCCACAACTGTCCGCACTTTTTAATGAGATACATTTCAACATTATTCCTTGTCACCTCAATATCAGATACTTTCTCATGTAATCTTTTACTTCTGAGGAGTTGAATTCTTGATCCATAAACTGAATCCATAGCTATGCATCTGTGGATGTTTTTAAATTATGTGAAAATTTTGTATATGCATTTTTCAGGGGAAAGTATCAGATCACCCACCTGGTGATTGTAACAAAAACAATCACTCCTGTTGGTATTTAAGTCTTAATTAATTCAGAAAAATTTGCACACACCCTAAGGTCAGATAGTATTTTGTACCCTACATATAAAAACTCCTTTTTTTTTTTTTTGAGATGGAGTCTCACTCTGTTGCCCAGGTTGGAGTGCACTGGCATGATCTCTGCTCACTGCAAACTCTGCCTCCCATAACATTAATGATCACTGATCACAGATCACCGTAACGAATATAATAATAAGGAAATATTTTAAAAATTGTGAAGATTACCAAAGTGTGAAACCAAGACACAAAGTGAGCACAGGCTGTTTGTTAAATGGCACCAATAGACTTGCTTCACCAGGGTTGTCACAAACATCTCATTTGTAAATAAAGAAAAAATGTTCCTATCTGTGAAGCACAATAAAGAGAAGTGCAATAAAATATGTTTGTATTAATTTGGTTAACTTTATTCCAACTTAATGTAAATTAGTTTTAAAACAGTTTATAAAATTCTTAAATGAACCTGGCAAATTTAGAGCAATAATAAAATTATTTAAATTAGAAAAGTCTTTTTTAAAAAGGATAAATAACAAATGTCTCATTGGAATTATTAAAGTTGTTTCAAGTTCAGCTCTGAGGTTCTTAGAAACTAAAGTAAAAAAGTATGACCAGTTTCTGAAGTCAAGATAAAATCATACAATCTTTAACTTAGAAAATTATCTTCTGTGTTGTGTCCTAAGCATAAACAAATGTAAGGACTTGCCCTGACACTCTGTAAGTAGTTCCACTCCAATACGCCCTGCAGAAATATTTCCTGGCAAGAACAGCAAGTCAGAAGCCTTTTCAGCATGGCAAGGAGGGAGAGAGACTATGCTATTAAAAAAAAAAAAAAAAGATGAGGAGGAACAATAGCACCTTAGACAAGTGAGAAGTTTCAAAAGAGACATATAAGGAGAGCAGTTGCAATTATAAGGAGCAAAATATGGAATGATGAAAAAAGATACTTTAAAGAAAGTTTTCCTCAGTACTTTGCAATGCGCTTGCCACCTTCTGAAGAAAGCTGGCTCCTTCTGGAACCTTAGGGTATTTGGACTCATGCTTTGGAATGGGGTGACCATCTACATCAAGCTAACTTAAATTCAAATTTGTGTGCATAGGATAAGAATAATTGGGTTAAATAAAATTCACTTTTAATCTAAAATGTCATTCATTAGTTTTGACCAACTTTCCTTACCACTGGCCACTTGGTCCTTGTCTTGTTTGACCAGGGTTGTCAAACAAGGTTTGTTGTTTCCTTCTTTGAAGGAAAGAGTCAGTGTTTCTTCCATTCCAATGCATCCACTTGAGGAATTTTTAATAAAATGGGCAATGAATGGGCAGCAGAAGAAGTTACAGGCCTGCTGATCAAATGCTAAGTAATAAACCCTGGAAATTCTAAACTCGTTTGCATGAAGACCTTGCTTATTTTGTAACTATTATGTATTATCAAATGTATACTTAATTCTTTGAATGTGTTAGTATGTGTTCAAAGTACACCTTAATTTTATATATATATATATATATTTAAATTACATAAAATAAATAAGCCACTAAAAATTTTTAAACATTTTCTTATATTTCCTTTCAGTATTTTTATGTGCATGCATCTGTACTTGGTAATATTGCTGAATGCATGTTTGCATTGACAAAGCCTCTCCCCTTGCCCAAACTCTAGTTGGGATCCTCTAAGCCACCTCTCAGCCTCAGCTTTCAGTGTTCATCCTAGTCTGGCCCACATCTCTCAGGTTTAGGAAGAAACTTGCAAAGAATCCCCCACTCTCAGTACTGATCACCTTTGATATCTGATCAAATTTGTTATCTCCCACCACCCTCCAGATGATTTCTGATCAGTCTGGCCTGCCTTCAGTAAGAATCCTGTTCGATCTGTTTAACCCAAATCCCCTTTGCCCCTGATATTTCCTCTTAGTATCCCCAGTTGAGCCAATTTTCAACCATTAAAAAAATCTTGGACAAAATTAAGTTCAGGTAGGTTCCAGAGTGCTTATGTTCAGTTCTTGGCTTTTTGAAGACCTGGCATATCCTCTTTAAATTGCCTCAATACAAGAAAATACAAAATGGAAAGAAGTAGACATTAGAAATTGGAAAAATGGAGAAATACAGGAATGAACATAAGTTTCTATTTCAAGTAATTAGGTAAATTGTAAGATGTTTATATTTAACTTTTTCTCATTGGCTTTAGCCCCTTGAATCTTTGAGAACATGTTATTACTATAGTTATCGAATGTTATATTTTTTATTTTAACGTAGAATGGTATTTTCACTCAAATCTCTTGAAACATATATTTATAGTCAATAGTTAAATTTTATTTAATATCAATTGTTCCTTTTTATTAGTATTTTCTTAAAAAAATAATATTGGCCCAGCGCAGTGGTTCACACCTGTAATCCCAGCACTTTGGGAGGCTAAGGTGGGCAGATCACTTGAGGTCGGGAGTTGGAGACCAGCCTGAGCAACTTGGAGACAACCTTTCTCTACTAAAAATACAAAAATTAGCCGGACGTGGTGGTGCATGCCTGTAATCCCAGCTACTCAGGAGGCTTGAGGCAAGAGAATTGCTTGAACCTGGGAGGTAGAGGTTGCAGTGAGCCGAGATCGCACCACCGCACTCTAGCCTGGGTGACAGAGCGAGACTCCATCTCAAAAAAAAAGAAAGAAAGAAAATGCCAGACATTTATTGAAGGGCTGGAATGGTATAGTGAAGTGTTCTGAGTCAGTTGGGCTCTGATTGATAAAGAGCTTGGCATGTTTGAAGGACAGCAAGGAAGCCAGAATAGCTGGAGCATAGCAGCAGGGAGACAAGTGCCACAAGATGAGCTGGAGAAAGGCACTGGGAAAGGTTTGTCTTTTAAGTGCTCTGAGAAGCAATTGAAGATTTGAAATAGAATAGTGACTTGCTTGATCACATTTGTACTTTTGAAAAGTTCCTCTGGCTGCTGTGGGGAAAGGCTTGAGTAGATGCAGGGTGGGAGAAGCATAACCAGCAGTAGACTCTTGTAGCAGGTTAGGTGAGAGATGGTGGTGGCCACGAGTGGGCTGCTAGTGGTGGAAGTGACAAGAAGCAGAAGGATCGGAGACAAAACTTGAAGATAAAAAGTCTTGAATTTGCTGATGATTTGCATTGACGAGGTGTTGGGGGAGAGGACTGAAGGAGCAGAGGAGAGTGACAAGGGACTGGATGCCATTTATAAGGATGGGGAAGACTGGGATGAAACCGGTTAAGGGAGAAATTTTAACCATGGCAAAATTAAGAGGGGTTTTATGTGAGAAAATGGAAATGCTAAGGAGGAAGTTGAAAATCCTGCTAATTTGGAGATCTTTGATTAAAACTAGAAATAAGAATGTGGGAAGCATCAACTTGCAAGATGCCCTCATTGTAGATAACACCATTTAGGATCTAGGCTCAAGCCCTGGGAAACTCCAGGGCTTTGGAAGTCAAATAGAGGAAGAACACGTACAGGAGATGAAGAAAGATTAGCGAGGAAGTCAGTGAATTATCCACAGGTGGGCTGCTGCCAAATCCAGCAGAACAGTATGCCAGATGTTAGGAGCATGAGTAAAATGAGAAAAGAGAAACGGCTTTTGACAACACTTCCCTACTAATAGTAGGGAAGAAGACATAGGTACAGATTCAAGTTGATTTGAAATTATGAAAGTGAGGTAATTGACCTGCAGTGGTTGCTGCTCAGTGAAATCAGCATAGTGATTACCTGAGCTAGGTTAGAGATTTGATGGGTAAGAAAGAACACCTGAGGGTAATCCTGGAGGGGGAAAAAAATAAAGTGTTTGCTGGAGAGAATGAGTTGAATTGCTGGACTTCAATGTGTGTGGGTTGAGTTTGTGACTTAAAAATGAAACCAGTCTATTGCTTGTGTGGCTTTTCCAAAATACCGTTATTCCGTTACCTATCTCTTACCCCAAGAGTAGTCACATTCTTATTTCTGGTTATTTTAATTCCTGGTGGTATTTTTATGTGATTAATGAGATAGTACTTGTTAATTTGATGATATTCTAGAAACCTGGTAAGTACTATGTACCTTGTCTTAAGTTTTGGTTACTTGATTGGTAAAATTATGCATGCACCATTGAATTACCTAATTCAAAATATATCCTTGTATTGTTTGACATTTGTCTTGTTTTTCTTTAAAATGTTATCTTTGTGGAGTAAACATTTTTCTTTATGCTGTTTAGCATCTTCAGATTAGTTCAGGGTATTGCTGAATGTGGTTGTTTGGAAGTAAAATGCTTTAGTTTTAGTTATATAGATTTTAATAAGATACTACTTTCTATATAATTTATCAGGTACTTTAGGCATTTTAATTTGCAAATTTAGGACAATTTGCTTTAACGTTTCTTCACTTTTGTCCATTGGATGTAATTTCCATAAAGTATTCATTTCCCTGAGTAAAAACCGAAACCAAACCGGCAACTAATGGTCACTGAAGAAAGAGTGATTAAATGCTAAGATTATAATGGTATTTGCATTTTAATGTTACCAGCTCTCTACAGTGTAAAGTTTATGCATTTATCTATTGCTTATGTTTCTCATTGCATTCTTTGGCCTACTGGTTTTGGTTGTTTATAGCTATAGAATATAGAATTCCTTATGGTTATCCATTTCTCCTTTTAAGTAGAGTGATAGTTGTTAGAAGAAAAATAACCCCCCAATACTTTCTTCTAGTGTTAATTCTTAAAGTGTGATTGACTTTTATTTACTTTTTGGTGCAGTAATTGCAGTTCATGAGTCAATGTTGATGTCATATAAACCTTAATTTTTAATGTTTCATTGTAGTGATGTCTCTGTAGCAGCAAACATTTAAGTTATTTGTTATACTTAAATGTTTAAATCACTGTTAGTGATTAGCTTATTTTGCCTTCCTTGAAGCAATTTGTCCTAAATTTCCATATGTTTGCATTTGTTTTTGCTGTTCTAAAATTCCTTAGTTGCTGGCTTTGACCTTTTATGTTGCTGAGTTTTACACATCTATTTTCTCAACTGCCATATCCTAGGAGGCTTGGAGTACCCATAATACAGTGAGCCCACCTTCCTGGTCCCCAGACATTTCAGGAGGTCGGGAAATTTTTAAACCCAGGCAGCTTCCTGGCAGTGCCATTTGGAGCATCAAAGTGGTAAATAAAATTGCATTTACATTCATATATCATTTCTGTCTGATTTGTTTTGCCCTACTGGGTGTAAAGAATTAAATCTTTCTTTTCTAGATTGAGCTTCCAGAAACACTTTTTAAATCTAAAAATTTTAATGTAAAGAAATAATATGCTTGCATTTAAAAATCAATATACATTTTTAATACCTCTTTTTATGGTTAATTCCTTTTGTTGTGATTACTACCGGTTTTATGAGGGAGAAGTCCTTGACATGTAGACCAAAAGGTAATTAAGGACCTTTTCATTCATGATATCATAAAACTTTGTTGCTTAGAAAAAAGCAAAAGAAAAAACTCCATTAATTTATTATGTTCTTATGGAGAAGAAATACCAAAATTGTGGCAGATTTCATTGTCTGTTTAATACCTTAAAATGACAAGGCTTTTTCCCCCATGACATTGGTTGATGGCTGTGCCAGTCCTTGAAGTGAGTTAAGTAGTGTGATGCATTTTGAAGAGAAAAAAATTAATTTGAAAAAGTATTAACTCAAAAGTTAAAATACTTCATTGACTGGAGATGACAGTTTTTCTTCATATTCTATATTTAATATTCTGGAATATGGCTGTTTAATTCAGACTAATCAAGGATTTTAAGGAATTCTAGATTATACTTTATTTTCTTTCATGACTGGAAGAACTATTTTTTTTTAACCTCCCTACCTCCCCCTGATATCATCCAAGATATTGAGGTATAAATATACCTCATTTGACAGTTTGATAATATAGACCACCAATTTTTACTTACCTTTTTTCTGGGTCAGCATTTCATGTTTGAGAAAATAAATTGAGAGATTACTGTAGTCTTGATTTTTAATCACTGACTTAATTTTTCAAAAATCTTTTATACCAGTTTAATAACAAAACAAACTCGGCCGGGCGCAGTGGCTCACGCCTGTAATCCCAGCACTTTGGGAGGCTGAGGGGGCAGATCACCAGAGGTCAGGAGTTCGAGGCCAACCTGGCCAAAGTGGTGAAACCCCGTCTCTACTAAAAATACAAAGAGATTTAGCCGTGCGTGGTGGCATGTGCCTGTAATCCCAGCTGCTAGGGAGGCTGAGGCAGGAGAATTGCTTGAACCCAGGAGATGGAGGTTGCAGTGAGCCAAGATCACATCATTGCACTCCAGCCTGGGCAAAGAAGCGAGACTCCATCTCAAAAACAAACAAACAAACAAAAAACCCAAAAAACTAACCTGACCCCATCTATCTGTTGTGCAAAGAAGCTGATGCACTTCTCAAAAGGGATCTCAAGGAGAGCAGGGTAAGAGAAGACAGGAGTGGCAGTTTGAAACTGGGAGCTGGCTGTATTTATTACATCCAAAGGGAAAAAAGCCATTCCTCCCATTCCTTTTGTTCATGTGTTTCTATTTTATGCTTACAGTATCATCATAAATTTTTGACTTGGAAACCATTCTGCTAAATAGGGAATCAGTTTATTTCAAACTATGATAAGGGACATCAGTTGAAGATATGACATATTATTTAACTTATGGTGAGGGAAACACCTAAGTATTTTCCTGAGCATCTGGATAATTTTAAATACACATAATTCATCTACTTAGGTAGGTGCCAGGTTTTTTCAAGGAGTAATTAATTAGTACGAACAAGGGTGAGGGGGCAGGGAACACCATACT
The DNA here is from genome assembly GCF_000001405.40 of Homo sapiens. Lineage (NCBI taxonomy): Eukaryota > Metazoa > Chordata > Mammalia > Primates > Hominidae > Homo > Homo sapiens. Next base: position 173,487 of record NT_187520.1, read on the forward strand.
CTGGTACTTAATGTCTGAAATTATCAGGGAATTTAACACATTTTCCCATAGGTTTATTTCTTGTGTAAGAAGTCAGATAAATTATTTCCATTTCAAGTATTTATTATTCAGATTATTTAAAGCAAAGCTTTCACAAAGCCTTTTGTCAGCTTTCCTGTAATCCTCAAATAATTTTTCCTGGCTGGACGCTTTGGCTTACTCCTGTAATCCTGGCACTTTGGGAGGCAGAAGCAGGAGGATCACTTGAGCCCAAGAGTTCTAGGCTGCAGTGAGCTGTGATCACACCACTGCACTCCAACCTGAGTGACGGATCAAGTTCTTGTCTCAAAAATAAACGTAATAACAATAATAATAAATTTTCCTCTAAATACAATGGTGAATGAGGTAGAAATGTTGAGTTCATAAGAGAACTGTTGAATAGTGAAGGAAACTGACTTAATTTTAATGACAGGAAGAATACTGTTACACACTAGCAAAAATAAACTTTCATGCTGATGTAGCAGTACAGAATATGCTTCCAACCCAGGGACGCTGGAGCCAGGCTTGCTAGCTAAGCGACCTTGGACAAGTTACTTAACCATTTTATTCCTCAGCACACTCATCTCAAACGAGGATAATAAAACCTACTATATGGGATTGTTGAGAGTAAAAAATACTTAGATTAGTACATAGTAAGTACTCAATAGATGTTAGCTATTACTGTAATCACCGCGAGACCAGTTAATGAGAGAGTTCTTCCTTATCCTTACTCTATATTGAATACAATTTGTTGCACTTCGAAATATCTGGATAAGGCTATAGTTGTTGTCGTCACCGAGAATGTAGGAGTGGCAAAGAGAAAAATCATGCAAAGGCTTGCTGATAGCGTTCACAGTGACAGCCCGAAAGTATGATTCTAAGGTTGTAAGCATTTTATATTTAGAATTTTAAGTTGTGGAATATACTTTTAAAGATAAAAATAATAAGCCAGGTCTCTTAATACTTATCTAAAGAAGTGTTTGTATAACATTTAATAAAATGTTTTATCTCAGTGGCATTTGGATTTAAAAATTATTTTGGGCTGTCACAGAATGTTGACTTTTCCTAATCTGTTACATAGGGCCATGGGTCTGGATTTCCAGGAAAGCGGAGACCTCGAGGTGCAGGACTGTCGGGGCGAGGTGGCCGAGGCAGGTCAAAGCTGAAAAGTGGAATCGGAGCTGTTGTATTGCCTGGGGTGAGGCTTGCTTCATGTATATTTTCTCTAATCTAAATGTCAGTTAATGATGAAAATCTCATAGCAAGTTATTTTGAACTTAAAAATCATATAAATAGGTCAAAATGTTTATTTTACTGTCCTACTTTGCTTTTTTTTTTTTTTTTGAGCCTCTGGTTACGTTTTCTTGTATATTTACTTTCTCATCCTTTCTCTTTTCTTACCTTCCTCTTTGACTCCTTATCTTTCTATGCCAACCCTCTCTAAAAAGTCAGTATGTAATATAGTTGCTCTTTTATTTAAAAAATTTTAAGATTGATATTTGCTTACTATCATGTTACGAGGCTTTATTTATATGTGTATTACAAATATATTTGTTAACTACTAGCAAATATTTTATGTAATAACTTCGCTATTTTATTAAAATCCTGTTTTTAAAATTCTGAAATGTCATTTTAAGTATAGGAGACAGGTGAAATTGTTCAAGTTTACTACTAAACCAGGAATAAGGAAGCTTAGATTCTTGTCCTTTTTTCAAAAAGAAAAATTTTAAAACCAGGCTTATTGAGGTATAGTTGATATAAGCTATATTTGACATGTACAATTCCATAAGCTTTGATATATACATATACACCCTTGAAAACGATACCACAATCATGATAGTGAATATATTCATCTCCCAACGTTTCTTCATGTCCCTCTGTAATTTTCTGCATTCCCCCTGCCATCCGTCCTTGTCCCCAAGATTAGTTTGCATTTTCTAGAGTTGTATATAAGTGGAATCATACAGAACTGTGTGCTTTTTGGACTGATTTATTTCAGCACAATTATTTGGAGATTAATCTATGCTGTTGTACTTGTTAACAGTGTACTTCCTTTTCTTGCTGAATATTAATAAAACTGTGGATGCACCACGGTTGTAGACCTGTGCACTTTTTTTCCTCCTTTTTTTTTTTTTTTTTTTTTTCTGAGACAGGTTCTCGTTCTAATTCCTGGCTGGAGTGCAGTGGTGCGATCATAGCTAACTCCAGCTTTGACCTCCCACCTCTGTCTCACAAGTAGCTGGGACCATAGCTGTGTGCCAACACACCCAACTACTTTTTTAAAATTTTTAATAGAGACAGCATCTCACTATGTTGTCCAGGCTGGTCTCGAACTTCTGAGCTCAAGCAATTTTCCCACCTTGGCTTCCCAAAATGCTGGGATTACAGGCATGAGTCACCATGCCCCAGCCTGTAGTCTTAATTTCTTGTAATGTCTTCATCTGGTTTTGGTATCAGCATAACTCCAGCTTCATAGAATGAATCAGAAAGTATATTCTCATCTTCAGTTTTCTGGAAAAGTTGTGTAGTAGTGGAAATGTATCTTCTTATATTATACATGAATTTATTAGTGAAACCATCTTGGCCTGAAATTTTCTTTGTGGGGGGTTTTTGTTGTGTTTTCTTTTTTTTTTTTTTTCTTTCTTTTGAGATGGAGTTTCGCTCTTGTTGCCTAGGCTGGAGTGCAATGGCACAATCTCAGCTCATGCAACCACTGCCTCCCAGGTTCAAGTGATTCCCCTGCCTCAGCCCCCTGGGTAGCTGGGATTACATGTGCCTGCCACCATGCCTGGCTATTTTTTTTTTTTTTTTTTTGTATTTTTAGTAGAGACAGTTTTTCACCATGTTGGCCAGGCTGGTCTCGAACTCCTGACCTCATGTGATCCACCTGCCTTGGCCTCCCAAAGTGTTGGGATTACAGGCATGAGCCACCATGCCCAGGCTGGAGTGCAGTGGCGTGATCTCTGCTCACTACAGCCTCCACCTCCCAGGTTCAAGCAATTCTCCTGCCTCAGCCTTCTGAGTAGCTGGGATTACTGGCATGCACCAACATGCCTAGCTAATTTTTGTGTTTTGGGTAGAGATGGGGTTTTGCCATGTTGGCCAGGCTGGTCTCGAACTCCTGACCTCAGGTGATCCATCTCCCAAAGTGCTAGGATTATGGGATGAGCCACTGGTGCCCAGCCTGTGGGACAGTTTTTAACAACAAATTTTATTTCTTTAATAGGTACCTATTTAGGTTATCTGTCTCTCCTTGCATAAATTTGCACCTTTCAAGAAATTTGTTCATTTTGTCTATCTTGACAAATTAAAGGAATGGAGTTGATCATAATGTTTCTTATTATTTTAATACCTGTAGAATCTGTAGTGATTTCACCTTCCTCATTCTTGATACTAATAATTTGTATCTTGTCTTATTTTTTTCCTGATCAGTCTGGCTAGAGATTTATCAATCTTATTGATCTTCTTGAGTCAGCCTTTGTTTTCATGGACTTTTCTCTATTTTCTTTCCCCTTTCTGTTTTATTGATTTATATTCTCATCTTTATTTTTTCCTATCTTCTCACTTTGAGTTTAGTTTGATCTTCTTTTTTTGTTTACTCTTACGTGTCCCTGCTTGGAAGGGACACTTGTGAAGTTTAGGTCAGAGCTTTCTATTCTCCTTGGCTTATATCTGTGGTCTAGGAAAATGAAATTTCTATCACCTTCTGGATAAATCACACTATTATCTATGCAGGCAACAATAGCACATATTTTCTCAAAGATTACCTTTGCCCTCAAGTTAGGTTTTATTTTTCTAGCAGTCTAAAGGTCATGAAATAAATTATAAAATAAAAACAGTGGGTCTTCAAGCTAGAGGATACTGTTTTCTTTCTTGCATGGACAATTATTTTAAAATATTTTGGTTTTTCTGCACTTATTATTTAAATATGACTCCCCACCCCCACTTGAATCTAGGGACATTGTAGTTTTCTACTGCAGACTTTGTTTCTGGTTTATACTGGGAATATATTGTTTATCATTTTCAGTGAAAGCATCCACTGGTTAAATTTCCTTTTAAAAATAATAATGGACCTTTACAATTTCTTTGAGCTGCTCAGTGTGTATAATGTGTTGAATTTTCTGTTAGTGGTTGGGAGGTAGAAATAGATACTTTATCTCTATTTTAGCCATTTCCATAATTATATATCTCAATAACCTTGTCAATGCATCATTAGTCCTATGACTGAATTAATGATTACTTTTAGTAGTCACTTAGTTTCTTACTGGTGATGATGATTCTACTTTTGTGAATCATCTTGGATGATTCTCTAAAATCTTAGAAAGCTAATTTTGTTAATGCTATGCATACAACACATCAATACATTTTCTCTATTAAAAAAATTAAAGCGTTATAGGTAGATCAGAATTTACCATTACTAACTCCTCAAGTCCTCCTTATTTCCCTGTTACCAGTTTGGTATATTTATATATTAGGTTGATCCATATGAAATTGCCAATATTATTTCTGAACTGATGAAAAGCAGCAATTTCTTATGATTCAACCTATTGTATGTGCCCATAGACTACATATAATGACTTTGCATGTTTTTATATTATAGTGCTATACCTCAAATACTGTTCTGCAATTTATTTTTTCATCAACAACGTCTTTTGATAATTTCTTTCATGGCAGTCTATACAAGTTTCTACCTCCCTACTTTTAAAATGTTGCGTAATTTTCTAATGTTTGGATTTGTCATGGCTTTACTTACTCCCTAATGATGAATATTGGCATTATTAACACTTGTAGTCATTAGGGTTCATATGAATATAAATTGCTCTTATAAAGCATTAGTACTATCCATTAAAACTGCTTTTAGGCTGGGCACGGTGGCTCATGCCTGTAATCCCAGCACTTCGGGAGGCCGAGGTGGGTGGATCGTGAGGTCTGGAGATCGAGACCATCCTGGCTAACATGGTGAAGCCCCATCTCTACTAAAAATACAAAAAATTAGCTGGGCATGGTGGCAGGCGCCTGTAGTCCCAGCTACTCGGGAGGCTGAGGCAGGAGAATGCCGTGAAGACAGAGCTTGCAGTGAGCTGAGATTGTGCCACTGCACTCCAGCCTGGGTGACATAGCGAGACTCCATCTCAAAAACAAACAAACAAAAAAACAAACAAACAAAAAAAACTGCTTTTAAATGTATTTGTATTGAAAAATACTGAGATATAGTCCTTCTATTTAGTTAACCAACCAACCTTCCTTCCTTCCTCTTTTTTTTTTTTTTTTTTTTGAGACAGGGTCTCCCTCTGTCACCCAGGCTGGAGTGCAGTGGCGTAATCTTGGCTCACTGTAACCTCTGCCTCCTGGGTTCAAGTGATTCTCCTGCCTCAGCCTCCTGAGTAGCTGAGACTACAGGCGTGTGCCACCACGCTCGGCTGTTTTTTGTATTTTTGGTAGAGACAGGATTTCACCATGTTGCCCAGGCTGGTCTCGAACTCCTGAGCTCAAGCGATCCACACACTTTAGCCTCTCAAAGTGCTAAGATTATAGGCATGAGCCACCACACCCAGCTGGTTAATCTTTCAGTTGTTCCTCAAGAAAAGTAATTCAGTCGTTTTATGTTTTGACCTTGAACATAACCTGTTGTGTTTCAACTCTGTCTTTCCAGGCTTCGGTTGTAAGCTTTTTAAAGAAAGAGGATTGTATTTTATGATTTTGGCAGTGCCCTCCTTGTCTTCTTCTACAACTTCTAGTTCAGAGCTTTATTTTGTTTCATATCACTCTAGAAATTATTAACAAACCAGTGGCTACTTAGTTGATTTAGTCAAATAGAACTAAGTCCAGACTGAACAATATTGGTTGATAATCATTTGGCTGATACTGAAATTTGGATGTTATTCAAAATAATATTCTAAAGCGGTGCTAATAGAAATATAATGAGAACCACATATGCAATTTAAAACTTCCTAGTAGCCACATTAAAAAGTTACAGTGAGCTGGGTGCAGTGGATCATTTGAGGTCAGGAGTTAAGAGACCAGCCTGACCAATATGGTGAAACCCCGTCTCTACTAAAAATACAGAAATTAGCTGGGCATGGTGGTGGACAACTGTAATCCCAGCTACTTGGGAGGCTGAGTCAGGGAGAACAGCTTGAACCAGGAGGCAGAGGTTGCAACGAGCCGAGATCGCGCCATTACACTCCAGCCTGGTCAACAAGAGTGAAACTCCTCTCGAAACAAAATAAAGGTTATAGTGAACAGGCGAAATTAATTTTAATGCCTTCCATTTTGACCGATATATCTAAAATATTACCATTTCAACATGTAATATGTAATTATGTGCTGTATTTTATGTTTGCAGGACATCTCAGTTCAGACTAACTACATTGCAGATCCCAAGTGTGTGTCATTAAAATAGTGATAGATTTGTGGTGTACATACCTATAATATTATCATTTATAGTTTCTTGATTAGAATTCTGCATAATCAAGTCTTACTAAGACAGGTTTATTATATTTTCTCATTACTTCTTGGTCTAAAGGAATTCTACCTCTAAAGAGAGAATGAGTTGAATAATAAAATGTCATGACTCCATTTTGCTGTAGTATCTTAGCATTAATATTTGGAATTGTTATTCTAGACCTTAGCAAAAATATATGTTTTGATTATGAATTTTCTGAAGCTTTCCACTTAAGTGTAAAACAAGTGAAAAATATAACTTCGTATTTTGTGTATTTTGCTTTTTATAGGTGTCTACTGCAGATATTTCATCAAATAAGGATGATGAAGAAAACTCTGTGCTCGATATGGTTGTGTTGTTTTCTAGCAGTGACAAATTCACTTTGAATCAGGTTTGAACTTGACAATTTACTGTCTTCCTCATTGAATTCCTCCTTGCACATTTCTGCTTTATCTCATATACACAGAAGTGATCCAATATTTAGCTATAGAGCTATATTAGTTAAGAAGGTATTTTTAAAGTAAAATTTGTAGGTTTTTAGCTTAGTCTCCATTTAAAATATGTTCTGTTTTCTTAACTTCAGGATACATGTGTAGTTTGTGGCAGTTTTGGCCAAGGAGCAGAAGGAAGATTACTTGCCTGTTCTCAGTGTGGTCAGTGTTACCATACATACTGTGTCAGTATTAAGGTAAACATCCTTAAACTGAGTTAACAAATATGTATTGAATTTTTATTTGGTTTTAGTAGTAACATGAGCTCCCAGTTCTCACAATTAAGTATTATGATTATTAAACATATGTGACAGTATTTAAGTACTTTAAATACTGCTTTTAAGGGTTTCCTATCTCAAGAAATTTGCTCCTCTATAAATCTTATATTGTACTAATATCCTGCTTTTGTCTTGAAAAAGTAAAACATAAAAATATATGCATTTAATTTAAAAGACATTTTATACTATTCACAAAGATTTTAGGTTTAGCTGATTCATTTTGTCTGTTGACTTATAAAGCTGAGAACTGGAGTATTTAGTAAAAAATTATTATCCCATTCTGTTCTTTCCCACATTCTGTCTCCTCTGTGCTCACTCATATACAAAATGACATTTTCTCCTTATAGCCAAAAGAAAGAAAACAAGTGTCATATTTAATGCAATCGGTAATAATCGAGAGTCAGCACTGCTCACTTTCAAGCATTTCAGGATAGAGGCTTTCTGGGGAACCTTTTAAGTGGTATCGTGTGCTTGGTTTTAAATATGGACAGGTCTCAATACTTCACTAGTTGTATCTAAGGTTCTTGGTTTTTTCTTTTTAAGAACTCAGTCTTAATAAAACTTACATATTTGAATAAAGTGTCATGGCCACTGGAAGCAAGCATGGAGGTATAGCTGTACAGCAGAGGTCTTAAACTGTATACTCCACAAGGAAATCTTTTCTAGTATTGCCATACCATGTAATATAAATACTAACCTCAGTTTCAATAATAGGTTGTGAACCATGAGTGATTTTTATACCATTCTCCCCTGCCCTTCAGACATCACTGTGTTATATCATTGTCAGTAAAATGTCAGTATAGTAAGCAAATCAACATTATCTCCTTCAGAATTCTTTGTTGATAACTACACTAGTATTTATTTTATAGGGTAATACAGGTTTTTGTGAATTTAGGAATCAAAATGAAAGATTGTAATTAATACTATCCAAAATAGAAGACTAGTACGGTTAATTTCTGTAGTTTTTTAAAATTAGTTGCTCATGCTATGTGACTGAAAAACACAGAGTATATAAAGCCAATTAAAAATGGAGTTATATATGCATAAAACATGTTTCTTTTCTTCTTTGTACTTTATATTCTGTATAAAAGTAGCTGCTATCATTAGATTTTGTTTTTTAGAATGCTTAATGTTTTGGACCTAAGGAAATTGAATAAGATCCCTTTCAAGATAGTAATGTATTTCTTTTAACCCATCCAACAATTACCGAATTCCCATTTTACAGATGAGTACGACTTACATAAGTTAAGATTGGACAATTAGTGCACTATCAGACACCTAGTTATTCCTGTTTTTAAAAATTATGTGTGGTTCCTTTTACATGACACTGTTTTGGACAGTATAGAATACTGCAGTCTCATTGAGAAATACAGCAGTATCTAGAAATATACTAGGGATATATGAATTGGCTCAGCTTGCATTTTTATTGCAGGAGGCAATTGTTTGTGGATAAGTTTGATACCTTTGAAGCTTCTTTTTAAGCTTGCTGGGGCAAGTCTAGAAAGCCTTCACTCTAAGGTGGATATTTTCAAACTTTATGGTTTTAGAACCTTAACACTCTTTAAAATTACTGGGGACGCCATAGTTTTTGTTCATGAGGATTTTAACTATGGACTATTCAGCATTTTAGAAATTAAAACTAGGAACATTTTGTAACACAAGACTACAGAAGCACAACCTGTACAATGTCAATGTAATATTATGATACAACATGTAGCTTCTATAAACACCACTGTATAATTGTGAATAAATTAAAGTGAAAAAAGGCAAATTAAATCTTAGTATTATTTAAACTTGTTTTAACTTTACAGACCCACTGGGGTTCCCTAGTCCACATTTTGGTAGCTGCAGTCCTAGCATTAGTTTAACCCTATACTTAAGACTTGGCCTTTCTGGGATCACTACTGAATTCTACCCCCTGTTCACCAGTGTCTTTGTACTCTGACTGGTTGTGCTTCACTTGTCTTTGAGCCTTTTGCAAGCTCTGGTAATTGTGCAGTTTACACATTCCCAGTAGATGTACTTTCCCCTGGTTGTGGGTCTTTGGGCTTCTAGAAGTACGGCTTGGTGTTCCACCAAAGACTTCAGGGGATCCTTTGTAGATTTCTGGAGCTCTTAGTCCTTATTGCTTCTTCATTTTGAGTACTGTGTCCTGCAAATTCCACTGCCTCGCCTCCCCTAACCTCAGCGAGGCCATTGATTGTACTCTGCTGAGGTTCTCCCTCCCTGGGCAGCATTCTGGAAAATGTTTCTAGGCAGAATATCATAGGACTCCCTGAGTGTTTCCTTCCTCTCAGAGACCACTGTCTCCTTTACTATGTGTTGTCCAATATCTGAAAACAGTTGTTTCATACACTTTGTCCAATTTTCTACTATCTTATGGGAAAACAGGCTGGTCCCATATACTCCATTATCGTTGAAGCATGTATCCGTATTAGATTATAAAACATATCTGTAACAACTTTGGACATGGTACCATGGATGGAATCCTGGATGACATCTTATTTGAAAAAACTTTTAAAACTAAGGCTAAACTGGTTCAATGGAAGAAAAAAATGATAGTACAACCCCAGTACCTAAGTTAAAAGGAAATTTCAAAGACAGAGAAATTGTTGAAGTGTTGAAGTACTAGAAGTCAAGAAACACAAACACTAATGTTTCCATTAGATTTGAGAATAAGAAGGTCTTGACAAGCCTGGCTTAAGCAGTTATGAGTGGATGTGGGTGTAGAGACCAGACTGTAGTGTTTTGAAGAGTGAATATAAGCGGAGAAACTTGAGAGTTTGGTTGTAAAAGGGACCACAGGTATCTGTGAAGAAAACTTAGTAGGAATGAAGATAAATATTTTAAAAATTCTGCCACTAAACACCTCAGATCTGTCTGCCACTTTGTCTTCAGGTCATTGTTTAAGCCAGGGTCAGGCAGACTGGCCCATAGACTAAATCTGGCCCATTTCCTGTGTTTGCAAATAAACTTTTATTGAAATATGGCCAAGTTCTTTTGTTTACATATATTTGTAGCGGTTTTTGCATTACACTGGCAGAGTTTTTATAAAGTTGCAACAGATCATATGGCCCTCAAAACTTTCTGTTTACTCTCTGGCCCTTTATTGGAAATGTTTGCTGGCTACTGCTCTAAGCCACCCTGATCTTACCCCAGGCCATTTCCTTCATTTGGGCAAATAATATACTAACTTGGTAATCTAAGACAAATTCTTAAAAATCAATAAGCTAATCAAAATAATAAATATACATGTTTAAAAATCAAATGACATTAAAAGCCTCGTAATGGGCCAGGTGTGGTGCCTCACACCTGTCATCCCAGCACTTTGGGAGGCCGAGGTGGGTGGATCACTTGAGGGCAGGAGTTCAAGCCAGCCTGGCCAACACAGTAAAACCCCATCTCTACTAAAAATACAAAAATTAGCCGAGTGTGGTGGCTCATTCCTCTAGTCCTAGCTACTCAGGAGGCTGAGCCAGGAGAATTATTTGAACATGGGAGCCGGAGGTTGCAGTGAGCTGAGATCACACCACTGCACTCCAGCCCAGGCAACAGAGCAAGACTCCATCTCAAAAAAAAAAAAAAAAAAAAAAGGCCTTGTAATGAGCAACCAACTCTTGTCTTACTCTACGTCCACATCTGAGGGAATCACTTTTAATCTTTTCAGGTCTTTTTTCTTGTGGTTAATGCTATAGCTCTAAATAATCAACTGGTTTACTGCTTTATCAATGCTAGATTTTGTTGACTTTCTGCTGTGAATAAATAAATTCTGATTTAGGTCTTAAAATACACCTCCTTCCTTCTCCCAATATAGTTGTATTACTATGTTTAGTTCAATTAATAAGGTGTTGGTTATGACTCAGTAAATGTTCACTGCAGATCTAAACAGTATACTATGAGTTTCTTTTGTCTTTCATGGAGTTTTTAATAACAAGAAAGTAATAGTGACTCTCCATTCGTACTTTGTTTTTGCCTACTATAGAACTATCATATAAGATTATTTTTTAAAGTACTGTTTTTTTCTGGGAGAAGTCCTACCCTCTTTCTAGACATTCCCTTCTCCTGCTCTGATATGTGCCAGTGGCTTCTGGGTGTGTTGTTCTCATCCTTAAACTTCCCTGGCCTGATGTCCTTTGTCGGATCTGTTGATTTATAGATCCCAAGTCTTCCTTTTCTTTGTAATACATCCTCATTCTGTTCTGCATATCTCTAAGTAACTTTATTAGAAGGAGAATGAAGGAGCTGAATTTTGAGTCTTCCTGTGTCTACAACGTATTCTGTCTTCACACATAGTTGCTTGTGTAGCTAGGTTGAGAATTGTACTTTGAAAAGTATTTTCCTGTAGAATTGGAAGATTATACTCTTCTAGCATCTGGAGTTGGGAAGTTTTGTGCCATTCTGATGGGTGTTCCTTTGAATTTAACTCTTTTATTTTCTTCTCTGGTAGCTTTTAGGCTTTCTTGTACCTCATGATCTGAATTTTTATTCTGTACCCTCATTACTTGCTGTTTCATTATAATGTGGGCACTTGATTGGTTCTGTCTGAGGATCCTAGTCTTTTGAGATC